>NC_000008.11:31678284-31981314 GCF_000001405.40 Homo sapiens
CAGTTTAGTAATTCATAATTCACAGTAGCATTTGAAACACTCTGAGATGTCCTGCATAGACAAACCAGATTAACTTGGTTTGACCTAATTTCCCCCCCAACATAAACACTTATTAACAATCTGTGAACTAGTGTTCCTTAGACCACCTTTGTGTCCATTGAATTTAGAAGTTTTCTTATTCTCATTTGGCATAGCTTAATGTTTTTAGATGTGCTTTAGTTTTTTCCTCTTTACCTATTTGTTTCTATTTGGTTTCTTCACTTACGCTTTTTCCATATATATTTTTTTGACAAGTCTGTGTGACCCAATTTAAACTTTTCTGATGACATTTACTTTGAATTAAAAAAGATTTTTTGTTCATTACTTATCTTCCTATATTCTATATTGAAATGATTATTTTAATATTTAATGTTATAGCATATTAATTTATTAAAGTATTAAATATTTATATTATTAAATTTATTTTAAGTTAAATAATCAAATAATATTGATATTAAATATTTAAATATTTATATTTAAATAATATTTAATTTTAACTTTATATTGATATAAAATTATTTAAATATTGATAAGGATATTACTTTGGTAGTACTGGTGGTTATAATGTTTTTAACTGTCTTTCTTATTCACTGAATATATTCACTGACTATTTCATGGTAGGTTTTTAAGCTTTATTGCTTTTATTAGGGAATAAATGACTAAAGTTATATATTAACATTTACATTTGTAAGTTAATCTTCACCATAGGTAATTTTTGCTTTTTAAAATTTGTTGCAGTACTCTATATTTCCTTGCGATACTTACTCTCTTTGCACATGCTTCTTCTTTTGCATGAAGGCTCTTGTTCCAGATATCCACATGTCTGTTTCCTTTCCTCCCTCAGTTCTCTTTTCACCTGTTGTCTTCTCAATGAGGCTCATTTTTGCTGCTACATTTGTTTTTAGATGTATTTGTAAACATCTAGACACCCTACCCCAACACTACCTATTCCCCTTCTTGACTTCATTTTTATTTTTTGTGTTGATCAATATGTAAGATACTATGTATTTCTTGTATTCATTGTATTTATTTGTTCTTTCTTAATAGAAAGTAAACTTCCCAAAAACAAGGATTTTCATCTGTTTTGTCACTGCTTTGTCTCTGCTGTCTAGAACAGTGGGACATATTTTAGGTGCTCAGTAAATTTTCAATTGGATGAATAAATACAATAATCTCAGAAGATGTAAAAACTGCATTCCATAAAATTCAAAATCCATTCATGGTACAAAATCAGTGAACTATGATTAAAAGGTAAAAACATTGAGCAAACATGATATTTATTGGTGAAACATTGAAAGTATTCTTTTTTAAGATTACAAACAAGTTAATACATCTTTAATCAGCAAGATAACATTTCTATGCAGCATTATTATATAGGAAATTCTAGCTAAAACAATACAATAAGAAAAAGAAGAATTATTAGTATTGAAGAGGAAGAAACAATGCTATCCCTAGTCTTAGAGGATATTTTGTCTGCATAGTAACCATCCCAAAAAAATACAGATTAAGTATTAGAATGAATAAAAGAGGTTATCAAATATGCCACAAACAAAATCAATGTACAAAATCAATTGCATTTCTGTACTTTGCTACAAATATTTGGAAAAGGTAACAAAATACCATTTATAGTAGTATACAAAATATAAAGTACCTAGGAAAAACTCTTAGAAAAACAGGAAAAGACCTGTGTGGAGAAAATGATAAAACAAAGATCCTTGAGAAAACCTAAATGAGTGGTAAAATAAATCATAGTTCTGAGTAGAAAAATACCAATCTACAAAAGATATGATTCTCCTAAAATTGTTTATTTTTATTTTTTATTTTTTTATTATTATACTTTAAGTTTTAGGGTACATGTGCACAATGTGCAGGTTAGTTACATATGTATACATGTGCCATGCTGGTGCGCTGCACCCACTAACTCGTCATCTAGCATTAGGTATATCTCCCAATGCTATCCCTCTCCCCTCCCCCCACCCCACAACAGTCCCCAGAGTGTGATGTTCCCCTTCCTGTGTCCATGTGTTCTCATTGTTCAATTCCCACCTATGAGTGAGATTATGCAGTGTTTGGTTTTCTGTTCTTGCGATAGTTTACTGAGAATGATGACTTCCAATTTCATCCATGTCCCTACAAAGGACATGAACTCATCATTTTTATGGCTGCATAGTATTCCATGGTGTATATGTGCCACATTTTCTTAATCCAGTCTATCATTGTTGGACATTTGGGTTGGTTCCAAGTCTTTGCTATTGTGAATAGTGCCACAACAAACATACGTGTGCATGTGTCTTTATAGCAGCATGATTTATAGTCCTTTGGGTATATACCCAGTAATGGGATGGCTGGGTCAAATGGTATTTCTAGTTCTAGATCCCTGAGGAATCGCCACACTGACTTCCACAATGGTTGAACTACTTTACAGTCCCACCAACAGTGTAAAAGTGTTCCTATTTCTCCACATCCTAAAATTGTTTTAGAAATTTTATGGAATAAAAATATAAAAATTCCTGCACCTTTTTACTCACCATGGACCATGCAAGCTCATTCCTGCCCGCACACAGAACAGCGAACAGGGAGTTTTGCCCTCCCAGATATTAAAACTGTGTACTACTATAAAAATAGCAATTAACACAGTATAGTATTGAGTAGAAAAAGAAAATAATAGATGATTTCAGACAGACTAGAGGACCCAGGAAGAGACCCACACATTTATGTAAAATTCTTTATAAAGACTTGACTCTTAAGACAGGTAAATGCAATAAATGCTACATGACAATTGGTTAACTAAGTGGAGAAAAAAAATGGATACTACCTCACATCACACATAAAAAAATCAATTCTGGTTGCAAGACAAATCTAGGAAATTGTTAGAAAAATATATATAAGAAGATAGCTTTATGACCTCAGATAATGAAGAATTTTAAAAACAAGATACAAAAAGCATGAACCATATGGGAAAAGATTTAGTTTTACTACATTACTACCCTATTTATCCTTGTTAAAATGTTCAGTAGCTCCAAATACAATGGAAAAAAGACTGGGACCAGTGTCTCACAAAAGAGAAAACACAAATGGCTAAAACTAATATGAGAAGATACACAACCTCATTAGCAATCAAAGAAGCTTACATTTAAATGACAATGACATATCATGTTCCAGCCAGTATATTGGAGAAGCTAAAATGAGTAATAGCAAGAGCTGCAGAGGTATGGGAGAAACAGAACATTGTTAGAAAGGAAGTAGGTTGTTAGAACTAATTTGCAAAGTACTTTGACTTTATCTTGACAAGTTTAAGATACCTTAAATCCCATCAATTCCATTCCAATGTATAGACTCTGGAGAGCTTTTATATTTATATATGTTTATATTTATTATATATTATATATAATTATATGCATTATATATATTCACACACACACACAGGAGATGACCATAATATTCACAGAATACTTGCTTGGAAAATTTTAGTAGACTACTTTTAGAGCAGGTTTAGGATCACAGCAATATAGAGCAGAAAATAGAGTTCCCATATAGCCTTCATCCCCACAAAAGGGCAACCTTTTCACTATCGACATCCCAAAACACAATTGTGTATTTGCTGCAATTAATGAACCTATGCTGCTGCATCAGTATTACCCAAAGTCCATAGTTTACATTAGGGTCTGCTCTTAGTGCTGTGCATTCTGTGAGTTTTGACAAACCTTTAATGACATGTATCTGTCATTGTAGATTCCTATAGAAGAGTTTCACTTCCCTAAAGAGCCTATGTGCTCTGCCTATTCATCCCTCTCTTCCCACTAAAACCTGGCAACCACTAATCTTTTCAATGACTTCATAGTTTTGCCTTTTCCAGAATGTCATATAGTGGCAATCATACAGTAGGTAAACTTGTCATATTGGCTTCTTTCGCTTAGTAATATGCAATTAAGGTTCCCACCAGCACTGAATTCCCATCAGCAATGAATGAGAGTTTCTGTTGCTCCACATCCTCGCCATTATGTGGTGTTGTCACCGTTTGGATTTTCACCATTCCAATCTGTAGAATCATTGTTATTAATTGGGGGGAGAGACAACCAACAAATAAAGGAAATAACTCAGAGGTTCGTTAGCAGAATGATTTTAAAAATTGAGGGCTGTGCATATAATAAAGTGACATAAAACTATATACACACATTGTACTAAAGTCGATTTGCTGTTTTGATATTGTACTGTAATTAGGTAAGATGCAAGCACTGGGGAAACTGGGTGGAGGGCACATGAAGCTTCTCCATACTATTTCTCCAACTTTCCGTGTGCCTATAATTTTTTTTCAAACCAAAATGTTAAAAAAAATTCGAGTGTTGTTTTCTCATAGATAAAATACTGTCCAGCTATGGAAGCAATGAACCACAGATAAAAACCACAGGGCTACATCTCACAAACGTTATATGGAATAAAAAAATGCAGTCGAATAAAAACAGATGCAGTATAATGCTCAAAACATACAAGCTAAATGATATATTACTTTGGGATACAACTGTGATAAAACTCAAGAAAAACAAGTGAATGATAAGAAACAGAATTGGTGATAATGCTTATCTCAGGGGAACCCCCACGCTTTTGTGAGTTTTACATGCAGGAGACTATCAGGTCCTCATAGTGAATATCGGAGAATAATTCAGGGGGATTGGAAAAGGAACATTTTGAAATATACCAGAGCATTCTGTGTATTCTTATTAACTAACCCGCCCTCGGGAGAAACGATCTTCCTAGAGTCTAACCTGCTGAGGTTTTATTAGAGCCTAACATACCTGGGCTAAGAGAAAGGAAGGAGGTTTCATACAAAATGAAGCGTTCTCTTACCACATGATCCAGAAATCACACTCCTTAGTATTTCTCCAAATGAGTTGAAATGTCCACACAAAACATGCACATGGATGTTTATAGCAGTTTTATTTATGATTGTCAAAACTTGGATGCAACCAAGATGTTCATTAGTAGGTGCATAGAGAAAAAAATTGTGGTACACCTAGACAATGGAATACTATTCAGTGCTATCAGTGCTAAGAAGAAATGAGCCATCACGTCATGAAAAGACACAAAAGAATCTTAAGTGCATATCATTAAGCGAAAGAAGCCAATCTGCAAAGGTTACCTACCGTATGATTGCGATTATGTGATATTCTGGAAAAGGCAAAACTATGGAGTCGTTAAATAGATTAGTGGTTTAGTGGGGAGGGAAGCGTGAGTAGGCAGAGCATGTAGGATCTTCAGGGCGGTGAAACTATTTTTTATGATTCTGAAATGATGGATGCATGTCATTATACATTTGTCAACACCTATAAAATGTACAGCCCTGAGAGTGAATCCTAATATGAGCTATGGACTTTGGGTGATAATAATGCTTCAGTGTAGGTTCATTTATTGCAACAAAGGTACCACTGTGCTGGGGGATGACCATCGTGAGGGAAGCTGTGCATGTGGGTGGGGCAGGGGCTATATGGGAACTCTCACTACTTTCTGTTCTATGTTGCTGTGAACCTGAAACTGCTCTAAAGTATAAAGTTTAAAAATTTAAAAAACTCTGATCTTTAGTTTAGCATTTTACAATCTATTTTATTGAAAGGAACAAATAAAAGTTAGGATTAAGAGAATTAAACATTTTTCATAGAGCATATAAATATAGAGCATGTAAGAGAAGACTTGATTCTCATTTCAGTTCTGATCTGTCTTTAACTTTGGCTTAGCTGGTTTTAGCTGATGGTTTTTGAAGGATGGTCCCCAGACCAGCAGCATCAATACCAACTGGATATTTGTTAGAAATGTAAATTCTCAGACCTCACCCCAGACCTATTGAATCAGAAACTCTGGGAGAGGGACTGCTATGGCTTGAATGTTTGTGTTCCCTACAAAATTCATGTTGAAGCTTGATCTCCAATGTAACAGTATTAAGAGGTGGGGCATTTAGGAGGCAATGATTAGGTAGTGAGGTCTCTGACCTCATGAATGGGACTAGCACCTTATGAAAAGGCTGGAAGGAACTACGTTGGCCTCTTTGGCCCATCAATCTCTTCTGCCATGTGAAAACATAGCATCAAGGTGCCATCTTGGAAACAGCACTCGTCAGACATTAATTCTGCTGGGACCTTGATCTTGGACCTCGCAGCTTCCAGAACTGCGAGAAATACATTTCTGTTGTTATTATTACAAAGTGTCAGGTATTTTGTTATGCAGAAGGAACAGACTAATACAGGGACTCAGCAGTTTATTTTAGCACAAGGCTTCCAGGTGATTCTGATGTGCATAGACTTTTGAGAACCACTATTACTTTCAACCTTTTCATCTATAAAATTATAAATAACACTAGATCACTTTTTTTCAACGTGTGATGTATATATTACTGATCATGTGCAGGACAGTTTTAGGTGGCATAAATAAGAGCATTTTAAGTTTTACCAGCTCTGTATTTATTTTAAAGTTTGTTAGAAAAATATAAATAGCATACCAAATCTACAAGTTCACTGGTGTTTTTGCCTCATATATGGCTAAGTTAAAAAAAAAAGAAAACAAAAAGAGAATCAATGGAATCAATTTGAACTTGATATAAATAGAAATAGCCAAAATAGTAAGGTGATAGGAGAATATCACAAGGTGCATGGAGTAATTTCTCAAATTTTGAGGCCTTAGTAACCCTGCACTGGATTAATCTCCTACGTATTTTCATTCTAAAACTATGAGATTTCATATGCTCGTTTTTCTTACAGATTTGCCTCCTTAATTTTCTTTTTAAAATTCAAGCTCACATATTAAAAATGTAGTCGATGCTGTTTGAGCTTGGAGGGGAAATGGCCTATTAGTGTGCTTTTGTACTGGGGGATACTTATCTGAGATTCATATTTAACCATGGTTAATGGACATGGGGATAATTCACATGCAAATCATCAAAGTTAAATATATTAAGAAGAAATCTGTCCTGAAAACACCATTTAATTTTAGAAGCATTTTCTTCTTTTCACTACTTGAAGTATTTATAGTGGAATAGGCAGATGTTTTTATAAAAAGGAAATGAAACGACATTTGGGGACAGTAATAAACATATTTTGGTTAATTAGGGATTTATACTTTGTAAAAGTTTTCACATTATAAATAGCTAAAACATAGCTGGCCTTTTTAAGTGGCAGTTTAAACAGCTTTATTGAGATATAATTTACATTGTCATAGAGTCCATCTACATAAAGTGTACAATTTAGTGGTTTTGTGTATTCACAGAGCTATGCAACCATGATCATGAGCAATTTTAGGACATGTTCATTATCCCAAAAAGAAACCCCATGTTCATTATCAGTTACTCCCCATCCCCCATGTAGTTCCAACCCTAGGCAACTACTTACGTACTTTTTATTTCTATGGTTTTTCTCATTCTGGAGATTACATAGAAATGGAATCATATATGAAGTGGCCTTTTGTGACTGGCTTCTTTGACTTAGCATGTTTTCAAGATTCATCCATGTTGTAGTGTGTGTGTGTCAGTATTTTATTCTTGAATAATATTCCATGGTATTGATATATCATGTTGGTCTATCCATTCTTCAGTTAATGAACATTTGGGTTGCTTTTACTTTTTGCTATATAAATAATGGTACTATGAACATTCATATACAAGTTTTTGTGTGAACATATGTTTTTATTTCTCTTAGGTGTATACCTAGGAGTGGAATTGCTGGGTAACAATACTTAATACTTGATGGTAACTATATTTAATAATTCAAGAAATTGGATATAAAGCACTCTTATTCAAAGTAAAATTGCGATTTTATTTAAAACTAACTACATTTCTGTTTTAATAAGGTATGAATTTTGTTTGTCAAGGATTTTACATAAAATCTGTCTCCAAAATGGTGTTTGGCAAAAATCATTATTAAAATACATGTTTTTGAACACAGCAGCTTACAGACTGCTATTCTACATCACAGTTTATCATCATTTATCAAAATTGTCATGTCCTCTGTGACATGTTTCTTTTTCTGAATATTTTATTGTCACATGTGTCATTAAGCATTTAGAAAAAAAATGGCCTGGAATCTTCTTCCTGAACTGATGAAATTCATGATTTTTGTGTATAGACATTTACAAATAAATTATATGTTGTTAAGAAACTAATGGTAGTTTTTTTTCTTTTAAAATTCTCACTTCAACATCAATAAAAAATGTTTCTGAAATGGAAACATACCATTTTGATGTCTAACTGCATCTGACACTTTTAAGTTTTGCTGTCCTATTATTAATATTTTAAAGTTTTAGGAAGGGCTACTTTTTATATAATGAGATTTTATATTCCATAAATTATTATTTGACTTTGTTTTACTTTGTCACAATGCTTCTTCAAAGCTTTTTTGCCAAATTGGCTACCTTTAGATTCCTTTTTAGGAAAGGTCTTCAGGATGGTCTTTTTTGTTGTTTTTGTTTTTGTTTTTGTTTTTTGAGACGGAGTTTCTCTCTGTGGCCCAGGCTGAAGTGTAGTGGTGCAATTTCTGCTCACTGCAACCTCCGCTTCCTTGGTTCAACGATTTCTCTGTCTCAGCCTTCTGAGTAGCTGGGATTATAGGCGCCCACCACTACACCTGGCTATTTTTTTGTATTTTTAGTAGAGATAGGGCTTCACCATGTTGGCCAGACTGGTCTCTAACTCCTGACCTCAAAGGATCTGCCAGCCTCGGCCTCCCAAAGTGCTGGGATTACAGGTGTGAGCCTCTGTGCCCGGCCCAGGATGCTCCCTTTTAATAGCTACTTAGGAAATTAGGTTTTGGTACCTTGTTGTTAGAAGAGAATATTCCTGAAAAAAGGAAACAACTAAATGCATCGACTATCTGGGGTAGTAGAAAGAGAAGCGACAGCACAGAGAAAAGATGCCCCTTAGGGAGGAGAAAGAAACAAATATCAATTAGACTTGAACGAACTAGGTTTCTTTATTGATGAAGAAAGTTAAGCCACACTTTAACTTTCCTTGCCACACTAAAAGCAAACAAACAAACCCCAAAGAATAGTCAAGCAGCTGAGACATTCAGTAGCCTTGTAGGCAAAACAAGACATATTCTTATTGTTGGAGTATAGTTGTGTAAGGCCTGTAGCCCCTTTCTTTTGACTAATTTATTCCTTTTGGAATGAAAATATTTACTCAATGCCTGTACCTGATCTGCAGACTGATCAGCTGAAATCATCCTTGATTTTATTTCTGATAGGGAGAACCTGTCCTGCACTTACCATGGTAGAGTAGTGGGTGTTTATAATGAAGATGTAAAACTTTATAGTTTGGATCATGTGGGAGGTAGACTCTGATACAGGGCTTAGAGTGTTTATTAGGGAGTGCTGTTGGAAACAACACAATGGAAGAGAAAAGAATCAGGATCAGACAGATGGAAGAGTCAAGGTGTTTCTTTGGCCAACAACATGGAAGCTTTAGAACTGAAATGGTTAATCAGTTTAGTGCCATGTTTGGCCAAAGTGGCCAGGTCTTTGTAAACCACCTCCATTAGTAAATGGATGCGGCTGTCACCTCCCACCCACCAGAGCATGACCTTAGGTCAGGCGTTCTCTGCAGCTCAGACTGTTCCAGCCCCTAAAGGGGCTTACAGCTGGGATTGTCCTCTGACAACACTCCCTACATCTGGGCCAAGAAGTTCTTCCTTGAGGATTGGTCTTGATGGTGTTTCTCCTATGTCTGCTGCACTACATCAGTCATTGTCCCCTTAACCTTCACAAAAGCTTTTGAAAATATTTATATTTTTTGTTTATAAAAGTGGTACAATTAGACACCAATCTGTATTCAACAGGGCAATGGTTAAATCCATGACTTTGGAGACTATGTGTGCTCTTGTTTGAATGTTTCTATCTCCCCCAGATTTATATGTTGAAACCTGATCTCCAAAGTGATGGTATTAAGAGGTAGGACCTTTGGAAGATGATTATTAGATCATGAGGGTAAGGCTCTCATGATTGGATTAGTGCCCTTATATAAAAGGGCCAACGGAGCTTGTTTGTCCCTTCCAGGACATGCGAAACGCAGTGAGAAGGAACCATCTGTGAGGAAGTGGGCCCTCACTCAATCTGCTGGTACCTTGATCTTGGACCTCTCAGTCTCCAGAGCCATGAGAATTGAATTTCTGCTGTTTGTAAGCTACCCGTCAACGATATTGTCCTAGATCCGCCCAAATGGACAAAGACAATTTAGAATTAACATAATGAGGAAATCTGTGTGTACTGATGAGAAAATATGTCCATCATGTCATAGACTAAAAAAACCAGTTTGCCGACTATACACATATATACACTATGATTATATTTTTATTTACAAAAGCTATACAAGTATGTAAAATACACAGGTACGTGTAGATTCACTAAAGCTTTTACCTTCTGAAGACTGGGTTGGGGGTAAACAAGAAGAGAGAATGATAGTTTTCAATTTTTGTTTTGTATGCTCAGTTTATATGTTCATTTTTCTGTTGCTGATGTAACAAATTATCACACATTTGGCTTAAAGCAACACAAATTGTTTATCTCACAGTTCTGGAGGTCAAAAGTCAAAAGTCTGTCTTACTGGGCTAAAATCAAGGTGTCAGGAGGGCTGTCTTCCCTTCTGGAGGTTCAGGGGACAATCTGTTTTCCTGCCTTTTCCAGATTCTAGAGGCTGCCTTCATTCCTTGACTTGTGACTTCTTCCTCCATCTTAAAAGCCAGCAGACTCACATCTTCAAATCTCTATCTAACTCTCTCTTCCGCCTCCATCTTCCACTTCAAGAATCCTTGTAATTTCATGGGGCCCACCCAGATAATCCAGGATAATTTCCTTGTTTTAAGGTCACATGATTAACAATCTAAATTCCATATGCACCTTTCTTACCACTTGCCATGTAACATAACACATTCATAGGTTCTAGGGCTTTGGATGTGACCATGTTTGGTGGGGTGTTATTCTGAGTACTACACTAGGTAAGTGAAACTACAGCTTTCTCACAACCTATGTGCTAGCTGTTCATGCTTCCTGTTCAGATAATACCAGGTAAATGAGAGAAGAGAAACATCCGTGGGTAAACAATTATAATTTAGTACATTATTATTCTTTAATTTCTATAGTATTTATAATAAAGTTCAATAAGAATTTATCTATGAGGAAGTGGCTTTTCTAAACAAGTGTAAAGCCCCCTTGTTTGGAAAAATGTCAGAGAGACTGCATACTTTTTCTTCTTGCCCGCTTTTCCCATGCTGGCCTCTGTTGCAGCTCTTCTGAAATGTAATCATTGCTTTATTTCTTTATTTATCTCTTTCCTAATTTTCTTGGAGGTTCTTTAAGATGGGGGCTATATACTTTAACTTACCAACCTATTCAATGAATATTCATTAAGTACCTATTATGGCTAACTATTTTTCTGAACATTTGGGATATATAAATTGATAAAAACCAATAAAAATTTCACTTCTTTAATGGAGGAAAGACATCCTATATAGAGGGTGATGAATGGAAATAAACTAGAACAGGTCAAGAAGAATCACAAGTGCCAGGTTTAGGGATTGTTTGTAACTTTAAATAGGTTATTAGAATAGGCCCCATTAGGATGGTGATATTTGAGTAAAGGCTTTGATGTGGTTTGGGTGTGTCCCCATCCAAATCTCATCTTGAATTGTAGTTCCCATAATCCCCACGTGTCGTGGGAGGGACCCTGTGGGAGGTAATTGAATCATGGGGGTTTTACCTCCATGCTTTTCTCTTGATAATGAGTGAGTTCTTGAGATCTGATAGTTTTCTAAGGGGCTTTTCCTCCTTTTACTCCACACTTCTCCTTCCTGCTGCCATGTGAATAATGATGTGTTTGCTTCCCCTTCCACCATAATTGTAAGTTTCCTGAAGCCTCCCTAGCCATGCTGAACTGTGAGTCATTTATAAATTTCCTCTATAAATTACCCAGTCTTGGGTATTTCTTCATAGCAGCATGAGAATGGACTAATACAGGCTTGGAGGAGTTTAAGGAGTTAGTCATGGGGTGTCAGAGTACGCTTCATTAGGAAGATGCTATTTGAGTAAAGACTTTGAGGACTTCAAGGAGTTAGTCATGTGGGCAACTACACAACTGCATTGGAGGCAGAGGGAACATTTACTCTAAAGTCCTTAAGGCAGGAAAATTCCAAGACTGATCAAGTAACAGCAGGAGAGCGTGTGCAGACGCCTTGGGCCAAGATGTTGAATACATACTGAAGGGAGCCAAGGGTGGGAGGTGATCCGAGAGAGTGATTTTTCTGGTGTGGATCAGGGTGGTAGCAATGAACGCGATGTAAACTCATCAGATTGTGGATGCGCTATACTTGGAAGATAGGGCAAGTAAGGTTTGTGGACAGGTTGGTTGTGGGATATGACAGAAAGAGGTTCCAAGGATGATTTCAAGGCTTATAGTTTCTCTAATTGGAAGGAGGAAGTTGCCATCAACTGAAATAAGGAAGGCTATGATGAGCAGGTTTGGTAGAGAAGATCAAGAGTTTGTGTTGGGCCTGTTATAAAGTTGAGATTCTATAAGACTTCCAAGGGTAGATGGTGAGAAGACAATCTCCAGATATATGAATCTGGAGTTTAGGAAAGAGGTCTGGAATATGTGTAAATATGGGAGCCATCAGCACATAATAGATGCTGAGTGAACGAAGAGACTGCCTGAGATTATCAAATGAGGCATAGATGGCTTGAGAATGAGACTGAGGTTGGAGTCCTGGGTCACTCTAGCAGAGATTAGGGTAAGAAGGGAAACCAACCAAAGAGAGTAAGCTGGAGCCCTCTGCACCCTTTTTGACAGCAGTAGGTAGTAGATGTTTATTTAGTGGATAAATGCCCAAAGAGGAGGTAAAGTAGCAAATGACAAAGGGGAATTTTATCTGTCTATGTAGAATAAATTAAAAGGTGAAAAACAGAATCAACTGTATTTATCTCATCAGTGAATGGGTAGGAAGCAAGTGATGGAAATTAACATAAAAGTAGATCTGAGGCCGGGCGCGGTGGCTCACGCCTGTAATCCCAGCACTTTGGGAGGCTGAGGCGGGCGGATCTCGAGGTCAGGAGTTCGAGACCACGGTGAAACCCCGTCTCTACTAAAAATACAAAAAATTAGCTGGGCGCAGTGGCGGGCAACTGTAGTCCCAGCTACTCGGGAGGCTGAGGCGGGAGAACGGCATGAACCCGGGAGGCGGAGCTTGCAGTGAGCCGAGATTGTGCCACTGCACTCCAGCCTGGGTGACAGAGTGAGACTCTGTCTCAAAAAAAAAAAAAAAAAAAAAAAAAAAGATCTGTTCCTTTTTACTCTATAAATATATTTGTTTATAAAAATAACCGTTAATTTTAATAAGTTAAAGTGTTTTTTTCTTATGCAATTACTTCTTTTTAATCTTCATGATGCTTAATGTGCTGGTGTGGCTAATTCTTTGAAAAAGTATGTAAAAAAATCCCTTCTCTACAGAGATGAATCTAGTTCTTCAGATTGGTTATTCCTATACTTTTTATTTGTTTTTGTTTTTGTTTCAGAGACAGGGTCTTGCTCTGTTGCCCTGGCTGGGGTGTAATCACAGCTCACTGCAGTCTCGACCTCCTGGGCTCAAGGAATCCTCCTGCCTCAGTCTCCTGAATAGCTGGGACTACAGGGGCACACTACCACACTCAGCTAATTTATTTATTTTTTGAAGAGATGAGGTCTTGCTATGTTGCCCAGGCTGGTCTCGAACTTCTGGGCTCAAGCAATCCCCCTGCTTAGGCATCCCAAATTGTTGGGATTACAGGTGTGAGCCACCCATGCTTGACCATGTGAATATGAATATACTGGAGAATAGCAACACTAAGTAGTTGAAACTCATTTTAGAAATTACCCCATGAACATATCTAAATTCTTCATAATGAGTCATAGAAGAATTTCTAAAGTCAACTTGGTAAAATGTACTGATGATTTTCATTGAAAAAGCATGATTTTGCTTTCATATATTTAATAATTTGTAGAACTTTCAACTTTCACTGTGGTCTTAACTGGTATTAAAGGTGATTTGGAAATTGTATTGAGCATGTATCTTGCTATAGTATAAAAGAAGTAGACATTTTCCTTAAGAACTTTATATTCTAGGTTAAACAGTTAAAACACTTATATAAATATACATATAAACAGTTTAGTTGAGAAAATATAAGATGATGTAATTGCAGGTCTGTTTGACTCCCACCTATCTCTTTTGAGAGAAGAATTTATAAAAGAATAGACTGAAAAAGTGGCAATAACTATAAACTTGCATTTTGACAGGAAGAAGAATAGAAAAGGAAGCAGAATCAGCTGCCTTGATATGGATACAAGTTCTACAAATAGGACAGCCACTATGCTTGAATAGTAGTAGTTCACATACTTCACGAAGTAAATTAAATGTGATTATATTGGGCCTGACCTGTTGGTGAGAAGTGGATGTCTCAGCGTGGGGAGGTGTGTAAGCTTGCTCAGGACCAAAAAGAGCCCTAGGTAGTGAAATCTTTGTGAGGGGTTGGAACCTGAATAGGAAATAGCATTTAACAATGCTCATCTTAAAACCGAAAACCTCAGTTTTTTTATGAGTATGTTAAGAATCTCTGAAGATACAACCTGGGTTGGACGATTACCCAAGATCTGTTACATATTTAACATCAGGGAAGTTATGCAAAGCTTATTATTGTTTCTTGTGTTTATTTTGGGTGCTGACCTTCAGAAAGGCCTTAGCTAATCTCCAGGTCAAAGCCTATAGTGACCACCCTTGCTGCCGCTGCATGCCACACCTCCCTCTCTGTGCTATCTTGCTGCATTTAGGGACTTTGTTGTCATAGTTCCTCTCTTACTGCAAAGGGATTCCAAAGCTCTTGAAAAATAGGAAGTAGCTCATCCTTTTCTATGGGCTGAGGGGAGCAGTCCTTGATTTACGATAAGAAAATTCTATAATCTTTGGACCTTTGATAGAGGTGACAAATACAGAGATCTTTCTTGGAATATAATTTGTCCAAAACTATTTTGAGAAAGCACACAAGGCATTAACATTTACATTTCCAATTAAAGCATAGGGAAACTGTTTACAACAAGGGGACAGAAGTTGATGCTGTTGTTTATTGTGTTATATGCTGGTTATAGACCCTCGTTTTACAGTTATTTCTCTAAAATGCAGTAAAAAAAAAAAAGAATGCCTAGCAACATAGCAACCTCTATGAAATGAGGCATATGCTGTTTCTAAGACTCACAATATGTTTTTCTGAACTGTTTGCTCATAAACATGTTTATTGTAGGTGCTGCTTGGGCAGGGACGGCTTTCCTGTAGAAATCCTCTCTTGAATACACTAGGTTCTGGTTCCTCTTGTGGAAGAATGAAGCTCTTTTTGACTGCCTTGGAAAATTTGATACTTTCAGGTATTTATGACATAATCAATGGCTGATATGTGTCTTCAGGATTTATGACTGTCCTGTCATAAATTGCCGTAGTTTCAGAGTGCATACAACATCACTGTCTTTTTATTACTGTTATTATTGGAGACAGGCTGTCACTGTGTTGCCCAGGCTGGAGGGCAGTGGCGAGGTCTTGGCTTATTGTAACCTCCTCCTTGCCAGCTCAAGCCATCCTCCCACCTTAGACTCTCGAGTAGGTGGGACTATAGGAGTGTGCCACCATGCCTTGCTAATTTTTTAAAAAACATTTTTGTAGAAATGAGGTTTTACCATGTTGCCCAGGCTGGTCTCGAACTCCTGAGCTCAAGGGACCCACCCACCTCAGCCTCCTAAAGTACTGGGATTACAGGTGTAAACCATTGTGCCCAGCCCACTCTGTCTTTTGAGGTGGTGGGAAGGTGAGATGTAGTGACACAGATATTCTGTGTACCATAGTGATACCTTATTTATGAATCATCTTGCTCTCTCTCTTGAAGTCTCTCTATGCTAGAAACATCATCTGATGTGGTATTCGACACGGGTTCACCTTCTGGTTTTGTCACTAAATGCTTTATGACTTTGATCTCAGCCCTTCTCTGTGTCTAGAGAATTGTTAAATTACTAAATTAAAATGAATTTTTGAGAGTCTTTTGATGTCACAAAATGTAATAGCTGCTGAGTGCCCAAGTATATATCAATTTTTCTTTAGTGAAGAAGATGCAGAAGTGGTAAAGGAGAGGCTGCTTTTGGAGAGGGCAGAGTGAGAGGAGATGGAAGTTTGGAAATATGTCTTATAAGGAAGGCCAATGAGGAGGCAATCATTCTGTAACATGTACTTGTGATCTAGTAAAGCTTGTGTTTTGTATAGAAGGCTATGTAGGCTTTTATGACTGGGAACGTGTGAAAATAATGACCTAGAGCCAATGGGGCATAGGGACATTTGCGGCATCTAACCCAGGTCTTTTTCATTCCCAGGCTAGGGGGCTACAATTCTCTTCTGAAAGTTACTTGGCATGATCATCTTGCTGTTCTTAAAGCAAAATAGCCCAAATTTTGTTGAAGAAATGTTTTAGAGAAATGATTGCCTCATATTTCTAACACCACTCTTGGTTATTTGTTTACTAAATAGCTTTTTATTGGGGGAAAAGTGTATGGAAATTTAAGTTGGGGAAATTACTTGGGAGAACTTCTTAATGTATTAGTCTGTTCTTGCACTGCTATAAAGAATTACTTGAAACTGAGTAATTTACGAAGCAAAGAGGTTTAATTGACTCACAGTTCTGCAGGCTGTACAGGAAGCATGGTTGGGGAGCCCTCAGGAAACTTACAAGCATGGCAGAAGGATGAAGAGGAAGCAAGCACCTTCTTCACATTGGCAGAGCAGGAGGAAGAGAGTAAAAGGAGAAGTGCTACACACTTTTATTTATTTATTTTTTTGAGGCAGAGTCTCACTCTGTCACCCAGGCTGGAGTGCAGTGGTGCGATTTTGGCTCGCTGCACCCTCTGCCTCTCAGGTTCAAGTGATTCTTATGCCTCAGCCTCCCGAGTAGGTGGGATTAGAGGCATGCACCACCACGCTAGGCTACTGTTTATATTTTTAGTAAATACGGGGTTTTGCCCTGTTGGCGAGGCTGATCTCAAACTCCTGGCCTTAAGTGATCTGCCTGCAGTGGCCTCCCAAAGTGCTGGGATTGCAAGCGTGAGCCACCATGCTCGGCCTACACACTTTTAAATCTTTTAAATAACCAGATCTCATGAGAACTCACTCACTATCACAAGAACAACAAGGGGGAAATCCACTTCCATGACCCAATCACTTCCCACCAGATCCCTGTCCCAACATTGGGGATTACAATTCAACATGAGATTTGGGTAGGGACACAGAGCCAAACCATATTACTGAGGAACAACTTAATGTAGATAGTTTCTGTGTATGTGTGAGAATAAAGTTTTCTTATAAACCATTCTATTTTTTAAGTTCAACTATTTTATCTTCCTTAAAGATAGGGGGGTTGAAAGTTGATTTTATAGTTTGAGCTCTTGTTATTTTTCAACCATTAGCCAATAAATATAAGTGGCAATTATTTAAGAAGAATAACATAATAATCAAATATGAGAAATATAAGAAGCTTAGAATTGTGGAGTTGGAAGGGACAAGTCACCTCAATTTATAGTCAGCATTTATCTAATTGTTCTGCCCCCCTTAACTGTAAAATGGCAAAAGTAATACTTGATCCATAAATTTCTTTTAAGGATTAAAAGATAATGGATTAAAAGATAATGTATACATTCAAAAATATTTTTTAAGTGTTTTGTTTGTTTGGTTTGTTTTTTCAAGACAAAGTCTTACTCTGTCGCCCAGGCTGGAGTGCAGTGGTGCTATCTTGGCTCACTGCAACCTCCGCCTCACTGGTTCAAGCATTCTCCTCCCTCAGCCTCCCAAGTAGCTGGGATTACAGGCATGTGCCATCATGTCCAGCTAATTTTTGCATTTTTAATAGAGACAGGGTTTCACCATGTTGGCCAGGCTGGTCTCGAACTCCTGACGTCAAGTGATCTGCCTGCCTTGGTCTCCCAAAGTGCTGGGATTACAGGCGTGAGCCACAGCACTTGGTCTATTGAGTGTTTAGTATGTGCCAAGGCATATGCTGGTTCAGAGGATATATCTGTGTACTAGAAAGAAGATCCTGGCTTTACTAACTAGGAGGGAAAAAAACTTTACCCGGTGATGACAAAGGTGATAAGTACTTCCACAGTGCTCACTGGGACAAAGTGTCAGACCTTACACAGTACCTGATACTAGGGGAGAAAGAGGGATGGACCTGATGTGTCTTGGGTGTAAAGTATACCCATTATATAATCCTAACAGCAATTCTGTAAACCTGGTCTTATTTTCCTTCCTTTTACAGATGAGCAAACTTGTGTTCTTGTAGGTCTGTGTCAAGTAATGTTTGTTAAATAAGTTAATGTGTAAATGGAAACCTGAGCAGTTGTGCAACATGCCCAAATTCTTCAGCAAGTTAGTGACAGCTGGGACCAGAGCTGTTTCTGACTTCAGCCCAGGGGTCCTTTCATTATTCTACACTGCCTCTCAGAGTGTGCATAGGTGTGTGTGTGTATGCATGGGAGATAGGAAAGTTGCAGTCTTATATATGCTACACTTATCAATATAAAAATTATTTCACAAAACACAAATAATAGTGAAGTCAGGGCTCCTAGTTTAATCCATTTTAATTCCTATCACTAGTTACAGGTATATTTAATTATCCAGATACGTTGACTTTGTGCTGTGGATTTAGTGTACTAAATAACAGGATCCAAATCTGTGAAGTTTTCTTTTTCTGGAAAACTACTGGCTCTGAAGCAATTTAAGCCAGAATTCAAGGCCATTCATCCAAAATTTAAGGTGTTCTGAAATAGAAGGTGTATATATCACTTTACTTAATGTGTGGGTTGTGTGGGAGACTTTTCTTTGCAAATTGAATCATTGGAGACCAATGATCCTATAACTGCATTTGAAATCCTTCAGCTGGCAAACCTTTGGTAGTTTTAATTTCTTTCTCAAAGAAAACATCTGTTATAGGTGTCTGTAGTCTAGTTGTGTGTGGGCTACCATTTCAATTAGTAAAGCTATAATGACAGTCTTGGGATTTTGTAGAAACCCTAGTAATAGATAGAAGTGAACATTTCTAATCCTTTATTATGATCCCGTTATCAATTTCAAGTCAGTTTCTTCCCTATGCCATCTATCCACCAACTCCCAGCTGTCTTGAAAGAACATATATAATATTTTTCTAACTTTAGGGAATTTCTTTTAAGTTTGAGGGCCTCTTTCTTTTTGCTAGGAAGGGAAGCCGGGTCAGGAAAGCAGAGGAGTTAGTTTTGGAGGGCCCTCCTTTTGTGCATCATTTAGTTGCAGACCTAAGCAATGTCTTTAATCCCAAGGAAATGATACAACACTCCTGGAGTCTTCCACGGTTTTCAGAAGGTGAGTATTCACTAACAGTACCTAACTCTGTCCCTTCTGTAATTTATGTGGACTCTAAACATTGCTGTAAAGTACTGCTGGAGAAATACAAGACTTGTACATTTTTCTTTTCTTTTCTTCTTTCCTTCCTTCCTTCCTTCTCTTTCTCTCTTTCTTTCTTTTTTTTTTTTGATGGAGTTTCACTCTTTGTTGCCCAGGCTGGAGTACAGTGGCACTTAAAAGTCAACCTGAATCGCATTTTTCTCCAGTCTGCAATAGTTTGCCCAAATAATTACAGTTTTAAGTCTTTTAAATGGTTACTAGTCCTTCCAGCACAGAAAGGTGATGCAGCCCCAAATAATGTGTATGTCGGTACTGTCACTACAGTGCTTTGGGTCGACCAATCTCATCCTGACTTCTGATCTGGAGTCTACTGTCATAGAAAGGTATAATATGCTTATAATTTTTCTCCCCCAATATTTCTTTGCTTCTCTGTGGCAGTATTTCTCCCCCAAAACACTTAGAGATGTTTGATTTTATCCTTGCAGCTGTTATAAGGCAGACAAGCTCGAGCTGACACACACAGTTTCTCTCATGACAAGGACCAATTGTGATTTATGACCATTTACAGGATGCTAGTGATGTGGGGAAGGGTGTGTTTTTAGCTAGCAAGGCTATGTCCTTTCACTTGGAAATAAACAACATGTTAAAAATATGTAGCAGGGTTAAAAAGAGGAAGCTTCACTGTAATTTTCGTTTAGTGAAGAGCCCTTAGGCTAACTTTCTATAATGTTCAGCTAATGTGTTTATATCTTCAAATCATCTTAACAAATATTTATTGACTGCCTGCTTCTTGCAAGGTGTTATGCTGGCTGAAATGAAAGTTTTCATGAAAATTCTAATGTATAGAATTAGGAAGTTAGAAAGCGGGGTTATTAGCATGGGTCTTTGTCTGCTTTAGTTGAATAGAACCTGTTATGAAGCAATACATTTTCCTCCAAAAATTTGGCTTCTTTAGCAAGCAGCATATCAACTAAAGATGAAAGAAAGAAGTGGAAACATTTATTCACTTGTAATGTTAATATAAATCTTTGTTTTCATCAGAAATTCCTGAAAAGCTAGATTATAATATGTTACAGTACAACCTTGGGTTTGGCTTTTAGCACCAAGGTTAAACAAAGATTTATGAACACAAAAGATGCTGTGAAAGCTCAGATTCCTGCTAAACCTTGAATGTCCTATAGTCCTCTAAATGGTCCTAAATGTGGAAAAATCAGTCTTCTCATTGGTTAGGACCCACTGACTTCCGTCATTGTAATTACTGTGATATAACCTGTAGGGTATGAGTGATTAAATAATTTAATATCACTGGGAGAGTTACTTATTATGTGTTTTATTTGTATATTTGCAAGCAGTTCTTCATTTCTCATGACAGTTCTTGCATTCATCATTTACTAAAATGGGGTTCTGAGTTAATAACATTTTTTTCCTCATTATAAAAATTCTCAGAACAAGTCAAGATCTAATTAGACATCTTCAATTTATTAAATCAGACCTCTTTACAGAGCCCTTTTAGAAGCCCAGGTAACACTTGTTGTTTTAAATCACTGGCCCAACATAGTCACATGAATATACCTTGATGCAAAGAAGACGGTGAAGATGTAATTTTTTAGCCTTTGCATATTAAAAAAAATCAGAATTCTGATAGTAAGAAAAACATATTGTTTAGTTGCCCAAGTTGTGTCTTTTTCTCCACCTCTGATTTCTTCCCAATACTTTGATGAAGTACTCTGATGAAGTACTCCCAATACTCTGGCGATTTTCTTTTTCTTACCCACTATAAAGTGTGGTGTTTGCACTTCATGCCTGAGTCTTTCTTTCTGAGAAGAGGCTCCTGCAAGTCTTTGGCAGCTTTCAACTACATTAATTTTACAGGTCCATCCTTGAAGCAAAACTTTAAAAAGGTATTTTATGCTTTTTTCCTTCCTTTTTTTAAAAAAAAAATTTTTCACCTTTTAATTGTCAGTTCTAATTATCTGTGCAAACTGATTCAGGCAGAAACATACAATTCTGAGAGAAAAAGGGACCCTGGGACTGACAACCTAGGTTTACTGAGTGGGAGAGGCAGAGGTGCTTCCCAAATAAAAACTGTGGCTGTTACCAGAAGAAGGGAACAGGGATGCTGGAAAAAGAAAGGACAGACATCCAGTTCTGGAAGGTTTATTTGGCTTTTATTCATAAAAATACGAAAACCTTTCCTTGGTTTTCTGCTCTTAATCTTCCTTTAAATACATCAACTAGACATAGTCGATATAGGTGGTTCTTGTAAGATAAAACCTCCTTGGCCCCATGCAGGTACTCTCCTGATATTTATACACAGAATTGCCCATGTCTCTTAAAAAAGAGAACATCTGATTTGCCTTTAAGAAAAATGTGCAGGATGGGGTGGGAATGAGGGTGGGTGAGGGCTTTACATTTCATGCAGTTGCAGACTTTTTGGAGGCAGCTTTTACTCTCTGGGTCATATTTTAATTCCTGATCCTGAAGTGGAGGGGAATCCTGATGTTAGTGTCTGGGTGGTATTCTTGATAGACTTTTAGTTGAATAAGTAAGGAAGGATGCTTACATGAACAAACCTTATTCAGTGTCCCAGTTTCTGAGCAGCCCAAGGCACCAAAGCCTAACCTAGGATGAGGATGGTTTGTGTGGAGCTGGTGAAACTACAGCTCCCGATCTCATCCAAGATTGTTGTTTTCCATTTGCTGCTGAACAGCTGTTTGTTTGGCTTTCCAGCGGCATGAATATGCCCACATAATCACAAACTCCTAGATATTGAGGCATCTTAATGAGAACATAGCCTGATTTTGGAAGGAATGGAATGAAGGAGGCCAAGTGAATTGCATCAGGGTGCCTGGTAGAAAAACTGGCATTAGAACCTCGATTCTATGCTCACTGTCCGTGCTCTGCTCCAGTACATGAAATTTGTCAGAGAAAATGAGATGAAGCACCATGGTTTCCTATGCCCTCCCTGTTTGTTCCTGGTACTTAACCAACCTAAAATCTACTCATGGATCTGTCAGGTTTTAGATTTAGTAACAGGCTCATTGACTATGGAAATAATTGGGTGGGGGCTGAGGTCTTTATGGTAGATTCAAGTAACTAGAGCAAGAGTAGATGGGTTATTGTGGTAGAATGAGGGACATTTGCTAGTTTAAATCACATTTCTGCAGTTTGTGGTTGGACTTGGAGCTTCTTTTTCTCTGTAGCTTAGTAGCAGATGCGCTTTTCGCTGCTGGAGCAAAACTACCTACAGTAGTGTGAATCAGCAAGTAGGGAGTATTATTAGTCATGTGAATTCAGATACTTCCTATTGCCAAAGGCTTGATATATTCATATCTTACATTTTATCTTCTCTGTGACGATTCATTACATGTAGTGAGAGCATATACTTAGTCTTCTGTGTGGCTCAACTGGGGGCACATTTGGTCTAGTCCAAGTAATTATATGTAACGTAAAATTACATACAGCACAGTCATCAAAGAAGCTGTCCTTCCTTCCCCTATCACTAAGATCTAGGGTGACTCTGGAGTGCCACTGTGTGAACATTTCTCACTCTTGTGAGCATGTTTCTAAATCCCAAATCAATCTGACAAAGGATTTTCTGTGAATTTCTTGTTAATTTCTTGACATAAAAGCTCTTATGAACATACATATTCCGAACTTAATTCTTTGTTTGAGTCAAAATCATTTTTATTCAAGAGGGAACAATTATATTAATCTAGATTTGCCTGGTAAATCCATAACATACAGACCTGAAGTTCAAGCAGAACCCGAGGTAATGTGAGCCCTGGGTAAGGTATAGTAAGGATGGAGAGGTAGGTAAAGAAAGGCGAGAATGATTCATTTATTGAGAAAGATGAGCAAGGTGGTCAAATAGATTTGCTTCTCAACAAAGCGTGTAGTTTAAGCACTTAGTTTTGGTTTCTTTTGAAGCTGCCTTCCCTTTTTCCCATCTCTCTATTCCAACATAACAGAAAAAGAAGGAAAAAAAATCAATACAAAACAACCATTTACTTATTTCCCAGAGTAATGCTTCTCAAACTTTAGCAATGTGCATGCAAATCACCTGGCAATCTTGTAAAGTGCAGATTCTGATTCAGTAGTGGTCAGGCAGTGATTCTCAAAGAGTGTTCCTTGGAGCAGCCTTGTTGGAACAACTGTGAGCTTATTAGAACTGTAAATTTATGAGCCCCACCTAACCTATTGAGTTACAATTTTATTAGATGGGCCCAAAAAGTGTTTTAGGAAGCTTACCAGGTGATTCTTATTCACCTGAAAGTTTGAGAATCACTGACATAGAGGAGATTCTCTGGAGTTTTTCTCAGGACTCTGGTATTTTCTACTGTCACTGGGCTTACAGTATACAGTTGATCTTTAGCAGTGGAAACAGTTGGACAGAGATCTTTATTTAGGCTCCTGAATGGCTGTCGGCATCTTGAAAGTTGACTGGCTTCATTAAAGTCTCTATTTCTTGGTCCTTTGACATCTATTATGATAACCCTGATACTTTCTAAAGCAGACATGCCACTTCATGGAATCACGCACCTCATGGAATTCCATGCACTTCATGGATTCATGCACGTTAGCACAGCTAGACACCTTTATGTGGCAATTGGGTAATACTTACTTTAAAAGATAGAATAAAGGAAAAACTACCTAAAATTTCCCATAACATTTTTTTTTTTTTGCAGACTTTTCAGGGGTATGGATACTATATGGGCTTTATATCTTCATATCAGCTTAGTCCTAGTTAATTGTTATTTTCAATCATATTAATGGCCATTGGTCATTGCTAGCCAGTATCTATGACTGGCTGGTTCTAATGGCTACAAGCATGCTTAGCAGTGCCCTCATGAATGTTGCTATTATTGTTGAAGGAGGAAAACATTTTAATAATTGGAATTGGATTTTCTCAGTATTCAGTATTGCAAAAGGTGGATGTAACTTCTTATGATGTCTCAACAGCTATTACTTTATTTTTTAATTTATTTTTAAAAATCTTATTGTCACACCCCATGATTCTGCAACAGCTATAATTTTAATTTCTGAAAGTTTTGATGATTTCCTCCAAGGCTATAGCTGGAGAAATGTACATTGTCTATTATTAGTAACATTTCTCAAATTGTTTACAAGGCCTGCAGTATAGATGGGCTGAGACTGTGTTTATGCTTTTTCATTGAGAAATTTTGGTCTTGCAGAAGGAATCCATTTGTTCTGTGAATCTCTATAAAGCAAAGAGAAGAGTTCAAAATTTATAAGGGAGCCCAACAAGTGTTCCAAAAAAGGCTATTTAGGCACAACATTTAGGTGCTTATCTAGTATGTTGTTTCTATCAATACATAGCTTAAATATAAATAGATCTAAGAACCTTAGTTAAGACGAAAGGGTATAGCATACCATGCTATAAAATCTGTCATACAGAATACACATAAAGTGTCTGCTGTAATTTTGTAATCTTTCCAAAAGCAATATACTGTGTCTACAGCCCTCATTTACAACTTATAGAAATTTACTCATTTTATGCAGAAAATTGGAAAGGAGCAGATGTTTATTCCTAAGCTAGAATTTTGAAGGCCAACAATTAAAATAAACATGTCTCTGCCAAAACTTGAACTAAATTGAAAAATTTAGCATATAAATTAAAGCTCACTTAAAACTAAATTTATCAAGGAAATACATTTGTTTTGCATTGCTGGTTTCAATTATTCTGAAAGGACTTTTATTTTTATGGAACACTGAAGATTTTTAAAAGTTTCAAACAATTTATTGGACAATTGCACCATTTAAAATGAGTTACAAATGTCTTGCTTAAATGTATGAGCTATTAGCACATAGTTGATGACCTTATAGAGAGACATTAAAGCAACCATATCCTCAAGTTTATGTCTATATTCCCAGGGGAGTACAAGAAACTGGTCTGTAGACCTGAAATAGATAAAGCTGTGGGCAGCATTCTCTTCTATTCATTTGTTCCTTTGGTCAGGAATCTGAATTTTGAGACATATTCAATAAATTATGCATACTCAAATATTTGTGCTCTTAGCTTATTGCCACAGAGGAAAAGAGATTATTTCCTACTTTTTAGTATCTCTCTGCTTTTGTCTGATTTGTACAATGTTGCCTAATTAATTTTTCTTAAACACTTTGCCCTCCACACATTTTGCCTAAAACCTTCATTGGCTCTTGTAAGATGTGCTAGCATTCTAGGGTCTCAGTTTACTGTTGCTACCCTACTTAAATGAATCTCCAATGCTTCCTAATTGTTACTTCTTGGCTTCAACCAATCCAATGAGTTTCCTTTCTCTGACACATATCAGATTTATGCAAAGTAGTTTCTTGGCTTAAGTTGCCCTATATTTCTACAAAGGTCTAGTCAGATGGTCAGATGTGACTATCTCTACATATGGGTCTGAAATCTAGTTTAGGAATTCTATGCTGTGAATGTTTTAGCTTAAAACTCTAAAATTTAACTAGTTTTTTGAATTCTCTCTATTATATTACATGCTTCTGGAATAAATATAAACACAATGAAATCCTTTCTTGAAAATTTAGGAAGATGTTATACACAATATAAATAAGTTGTAAGATAGTGATTTCTACTAGACAGTTAAGGTATTAAGGACTATTTGTCCTTGTATTAAATGGACCCAGGCTATGCCTTTCTAGTGTTTTTGTATACTCTGATTTTTTAGTGGCTTTCCATTAAATCCTGAAAGCTCACTACTAAGACTCATGACATTTTTTGGGGGGTTAGAAAAATTACTATGATTCAGGGCTGGGCGCGGTGGCTCATGCCTGTAATCCCAGCACTTTGGGAGGCTGAGGCAGGCGGATCATGAGGTCAGGAGATCGAGACCATCCTGGCTAACACGGTGAAAACCCGTCTCTACTAAAAATACAAAAAATTAGCCAGGCGTGGTGGCGGGCGCCTGTAGTCCCAGCTACTCGGGAGGCTGAGGCAGGAGAATGGCGTGAACCTGGGAGGTGGAGCTTGCAGTGAGCCGAGATAGTGCCACTGCACTCCAGCCTGGGCGACAGAGTGAGACTCCGTCTAAAAAAAAAAAAAAAAAAAGAAATTACTTACTATGATTCTCTCTCTCAAATAAAATTCTGGTGACTTTTCTTTAACTCACCAAAAGTAGATACATACATATTTCTAATTCATTGTTTGAAGAAAAGCCTTAAGATATTTTGAAATAAAATTCTACACACATTACACAGAACTTGTAGCTACATGAGGAGAGCAAGGTTTTTTTGTTTTGTTTTGTTTTGTTTTTGAGACGGAGTCTCTGTCTGTTGCCAGGCTGGAGTGCAGTGGCGCGATCTCGGCTGACTGCAACCTCTGCCCCGCCGGGTTCAAGCGATTCTCCTGCCTCAGCCTTCCGAGTAGCTGGAAGTACAGTCGTGCGCCACCACACGCAGCTAGTTTTTTATTTTTATTTTTATTTTTAGTAGAGTTGGGGTTTCACCATGTTGGCCAGGATGGTCTCCATCTCCTGACCTTGTGATCCACCTGCTTTGGCCTCCCAAAGTGCTGGGATTACAGGCGTGAGCCACCGCGCCCCAGCCTGTTTTTGTTTTTATTTTGTAAAACGGCCTTCTCCACGCTGAAACTCTCTCTCTTTTGCTCTTTCATCTGTCATCTCCTCCCCACTCCCACACCCCACACTCCTTTACCCAATCTTGCCACTGCAGGACAAGAGATAGGATGAAAGTTGGAAAATAATAATTTATGGAGAAAGCCTGTGTTCCTTGCTTTATGAAAGTAAATTGTAGATAATTAATGTTGTGACAAGATGATTCTATTTTGATGAATAAAATCATTGAAAAGCTATCAAGCCCCACTGTTTCTCTGCTGAGAGAACTTTTTTTCCTCTCTGTTCTGCATTCCTATTCTTGGCTTTCTTCCCAATTAGTCTCTGCTAAAGAGTGATAATTGGGGAGATAGGATTTTCACCTACCTTGTGAACAGTAAAAATACCCATTTTTCCACCACTGAAGCTATGTGTATTAATATTCTATGCTTTCAGAAAGAAAATCCCACACTACTGTGATTCCTGCTTAAAAAAGGAGGTAATCTAATGCCCAAGTAAAAACAATTTTATGGTACTTTTATGAGCTTCTGGGAACAATGGCCATGTGATGTTCAGTTGCGTGTTTCATGTCTGATGACTGAGTTCACGTACGTCTTAGAGGCTAAATTTGGTTTAAAATATCTTACATCTTCTCAAATTCCTTATAACAAGAGCAGTAAATTAAAATTAAATTTCGACCTTAAATGGATTGCATGTTTTCCATTTGTAATATATTCGTATGGTTCAAAAATCTGAAAGAGTAAATGAGTACATAGTAAGAGATTTCCTTCCTACATCCCCATCTTCCCAGCTCCTTTTACTCCCCCTCCCTTCTGCATGAAAACTACTGTTACTAGTTTTTTATGTGTCCTTCCAGAGTTTTTTCTGCATATACAAACCTAAAATAAACATAGATTCTTATTCTCCTACTTTTTACAAAAAATGTAGCACATTTTATAAATATTTTGCCTCTTGATTTTTTTCTTGCTTAACATAATATAGAGTTATTTCCATATATACATACATAGGGACATTTCTTAATTTTTTTATAGCTGCATATCATTTCCTTGCACTGAAGTACCATAATATATGTATATTTCACAATTACCTGATTCATGTATATTTGACTAGTTTCAAATCTTTTGATATTATAAACAATACTGCAAAGAATATTATATATGCATAATTTTATACAGTAGGATAATTTCCCAGTATTGGAATTGCTAGGTTAGAGTACAAGTTTATGAATGTTGATCAGCATTGTCAAATTGCCCTTGTATAGGGATTGTGCTTAGTTCGGCTCTTACCAGGCTTATATGAGATTGTTCCTTTTTCCTCAGCCTTACCAATAGAGCATGTTGTCAGCCTTTGGCATTTTGCCAATGTGATAAATACAAAATAATACATTAGCAAATTTTTAACCTGTGCTTTTCTTATTATGAGTGAAGTAACATATTTTCATATATTTGAGTGATGTTCCTCTATACATGATTTGTATCTTTTATTTTTTTCAACATTCAAATATTTTATTGTTGATCTTTTTATTATTTATTTCTATAGGCTTCATCTAAATTGCACCTTTTCCTGTGATATAAAGTAAAAAATGTTTCAGAATTATATCATTTGTATTTTGACTCTGAGTATCATCTTTTTTTCTATTTTTGTTTTTTTGTTTGTTATTTTCTGAAGAATTGGTTGAATTTTTCTAGTTCATTTTTCTTCGTGGCTTCTGGATTTTTAGTCATAATTAGAAAAGGCTTTCCCCTTCCAAGATTATAAAGGAAATCTCCTGGGATTTTTTGTACTTTTGTATTATCTTTAATATCACATAAATCTCTGATTCATCTGGAATTGGCTTGTAGTAAGAAGTTTATTTTTTCTTTATATGACTTAATTATTGAATTGACTATCTTTTTCCCACTGATGTAAGATATTACCCTTATTATACACTAAATTCTTCTCTATGTTGAGCAATAGTTTTGAATTTTCTGTTCAATCTCTTTGGTCTGTTTATTTATGTGCCAGTATTCAGGGACTATATGTTTTAACATCTAGAATTTCTAAACTACCTTTAATAACTGAAATTGCTAAGCTGTTTTCCTATTTAAAAGTTTTTCTGAATATTCTTTTCTTCTTTTTTCTTTATAAACTTCCAGATTAACTTGTTTTATTCAAACAGCTGGTGTTTTAAAAATAGAATTTTATTACATTTTCAAATTAAATTGCTGTCTTTATGATCTCGAAATTTATTCTCAAAATTATGATATTACTTTTTCAGTTGTGTAATTCCCTTTGTTTCCTCTAATGGTGCTTTAAATCATCATATAAATCTTGCACATCAACTTTATCAGCTTTATCTCTTGGTATTCTATCTTTTTCATCACTGTTGTTAGTGATTTCTATATGTTGATTTTGAATTCTATTTTACTCATCTTTTATTGCTTGTAGTTGTTTTTCAGTTAATTATCTTTTATCTTCCAGGTGTATAATCATAGCTTCTGTAGTAAATAATTCCTTTGTTTTCCTCTTTCCAAATTTGTATAGATTTAATTTGGTTGTAACTCGTCTAATCGCTTTGGATTGTACCTAGAGATCAGCTTTAAATTTTATCAGTGATCATCTTTTTCTTGTTTCTGACTTCTGGGATTCTAAAATTTTGTCATAAAGCATGATAATGGTTTTTGGTCTCGGTTGGCTGTATTTTATTACGTTAATGAAGTATCCATCTGTACAGTCCTAGAGTTGTAGCTGGACCTGTGAACACCACCTTAAGACACGCATTTCTCAGCCCCGCTTGTATTTAAGCCTTACTTGTATCACCTAGTGATTCATGTGTGCCCATGTTCTTGCCATTGTAACGTAAGTAAAAGTGATACTTGCCATTTCTTCCACATCCTTTCTTTTCCCTTCTTGCTGGCAGGAAACCAGAAGTGATGGCAACCCAGCCTCAACTATGTAAAGGACAACAAGGCCTTCAGGGATGGCTGACCATGAGATGGAGGGAACCTGGGTCCCAGAATCACTTCGTGGAACAGACTACTCCCCTGAACAACAACTTCCGATTATTACTTGAGAAAGAAAAATAAACATAATTGTTTTTTTTTTTTTTTTTGAGACGGAGTCTCGCTCTGGCGCCCAGGCTGGAGTGCAGTGGCGGGATCTCGGCTCACTGCAAGCTCCGCCTCCCGGGTTCACGCCATTCTCCTGCCTCAGCCTCCCAAGTAGCTGGGACTACAGGCGCCCGCCACTACGCCCGGCTAATTTTTTGTATTTTTAGTAGAGACGGGGTTTCACCGTTTTAGCCGGGATGGTCTCGATCTCCTGACCTCGTGATCCGCCCGCCTCGGCCTCCCAAAGTGCTGGGATTACAGGCGTGAGCCACCGCGCCCGGCCAACATAATTGTTTTTAAAGCCATTTTATTGTTGAGTTTTTTGTTACACAAAGCCCTTTATTACCATGACTCCACATTTATAGTTGACCCTTGAACAATGGGGTTAGAGGGTTAGGGGCACCAAACCCCAGTGCTGTTGAAAATCTGCATATAATTTTTGACTCACCAAAAACTTAAGTACTAATAGTCTACTTTTGACTGGAAGCCATACTGATAACCTAAATAGCCAATCAACACACATATTTCATGTATTCATGACACACGTTTTTCTTAAATTTTTCTATATTTCTAGTCTGCACAGCAAATCTCCAAGCAATTTTTATGTATATTTATTTTTTAAAATCTGCATAAAAGTGGATTTTTGGAGTTCAGACCCATGTTGTTCAAGGTTCAACTGTAGTCCTTTTTTTTTTAGGTGATTTTTTATTTAATCAAATGATTTATTTTTTTTTAATCAAGTGATTTTTTTTTTTGGTCAAAAACCTTTTTCATCTATGGAAATTATCTTGTGCTGTATCTCTAGATATATTCATATAAATTATATTAATGGTTTTACAATATTTGACCATTCTTGCTTTCCCTGGAATAAGTCACATTTCATATAACGAATTATTTGTTCAAGTGCTTCTGGGAATGTTTCACCGATATTCATACCTAAGATTCGTCAGCTGTTTTTGTTTCCTGCAGTCTTTATAAAGTTTTGATATTAGTGTTACTCTTTTTTGTAGAGGAAAGAATAATTTTTTAAAATTTTTCCTTGTTCTGGGGCTATTTTAAAATGCTGGAATTCACTGTTCTTTAAAAATGTGGTAGAATTTTCCTAGAAAACTTCCAAGGCCAGAGGTTTCAGAGTATTAATAATTGGCACATTTCTCTAATTCATTTGTTGAAATCAGATTATTTAGAGTTTCTATATCCTTTGGGGTCAGTTTTGGTGAATTATACATTACTAGAAAATTACATATCTCATCCAGATTAAATTTATTTTGGCATAGAGCTGAATAAAATAGTCTCTTTTGGCTTTTTTATTTTTCTTTGTTTTTGTGGCTTTTTAAATTCTTATTTTCATGTTTGTAGTTTGTTCATATTTCCTTGAATAGTTTAGCTGTGCTTCATACATTAAATATTTTTCTTAAAAAATAATTTTTAAAATGTATTTATTCTATTTTTTCCCTAACTCCATAAATATTAACTACCCTCTTCTCCTTTTCCATTGATTTTTTGTTCTTTTCTATAAATTTCATTCAGAAACTCAATTTCCTTATTTTCTTTATTCTTTTAAATTTTTTAATAAAAATTAAATGCTCTGAGTTTTCCTTTGAGCAGTGCTTTAGCTATAGCTCATGAATTCAGGTATGATGTTTCCATTAATATTATATATTCAGATATATCAGATTGCATAACTCTTTGAAGAGGGAATTGTTTTGGAGGGGGTTTTAAAATTACCATGAGAAAATTTTTATTTTTCTCCAGTTTTATCAATTTCTATATTTAATGTATCATATTAAGAGTATGTTTTCGCTGTTATTTCTAGAATTTGCCTATTTCTGAAATTTTCTTTATAGCCTCATATGTTATCAATTTTAATAAATATTCCATAAATCCATAAATATGGATTGTTGAAAAGAAGATAGGTCTTTTTATTTCTAATATAAAGTATTTTTGGTATATCAAACATCCATAACACATTAATGATGCTACTCTATTCTCATAGCTTGAGAGAAGAGAATTACTCTCTTCTCACTAGTGTGTTTCTGTCTCTTATTTCCTGTAATTTCAGGTTTGTGAACATTTTGCTATTCATAACAATTTTTTGTGAATTACACTCTCTTGAGTTATACAATGTTGTTTTTTGCATCATTTTGGGCCTAAATTCTTGCTTGTCTAATATGAAAAATAAGACCATCTACTTGGATTCTTTTCTGTTTTGCCAGTATATCTTTTTCCACATTTTAATTTTAATTATTGTGAATCAGTTTGTTCTAGCTATTCTTTTAAACAGTATTGAGCTTGGTTTTACTTTCTCATTCAATCTAAATATCTTTGATTTTAACAAGTAAATTTAATTGATTGATACTGATATAGCAGGTATGTTTGTTCTGAGTGCTGCCATATGTTAAATTTTTTGCTTTCATGTTTGCTTTATGTTCTTTAACAGTCTTTCATTATGTTGTCTGTGTACTTCCCTTTGTTTTAAGTATACTTCTGATATGTGTGAAGGTGACATATTTATTCTATTGGCTATCTTTATAATTTAGTTGTTAACCTTTTGTAAACTATGTTTGTACTTCTATCAGTTTTTTTGATCTGCTTTAATGATATTACTTGATTTCCAGGAATTTTAGTAAAATAATCAACAAACATTTTCAACTTCCTAATTTCTTTTCCCCTCCTTCGCATTTTTAAAAATTTTACCAGTTCTGCTTGGCAGAGCACATAATATTAACATTCTTTTTTGGTCATCCCAACCCTCAAATCTTTTCTATTATTTCCCCAGTCATATTTATTTGGCTGAAGACCACCTACTACTGTCGTCAAGAAAGATTAAATCATTTTTGTAAGTAAAAGCTGTTTGTTGCCTTTATTCCTAAAGGACAACTTGACTCAAACTTTCTTTTTCTGAGGATCTTGTAGATGGTGCTGTTAATACATGTTTTATGGTGTTAAATGCAACTGTAGAGAAATCTGATTTTCATGCTTATAAGTAATTTACTGTTTTTGCTGGACTACCTTACATATTCTTTCTTTACCATTTGAAGTTCAATAACTGTCTGGGTTGTCTACACTGGGTTAGTTTTTCCTTGCCTCCAGTGTACCTTTCAATATGTATAGTATTATTTTATTTCAAAGACTTTTGGGGAGCTTATATCTTTAAGTTGTCTTTATGTCTCTCTGTTTTTCCTTTTTAAGTACTCTGTCTTCTTCTGTTAAGGCTGCTATCACAAATTATCATAATCTAAGTGGCTTATGAACAACAGAAATTTATTTCTTACAGTTCTGGAGGCTGAGAAGTCTAAGATCAAGGTACTGGCAGATCTGTGTCTGGTGAGGGCTGCTTCCTGGTTCATAGATTCTGTCTTTTCACTGTATCCTCACGTAATGGAAGGAGCAAAGAAACCTTCGGGTTCTCTTTTATGAGGGCGGTAGTCCCATGCTTAAAGGCTCTGCCCACATGACCTAATCACCTCCCAAAGGTCCCATCTCCTAATACCATCACCTTGGAAGTTAGGGTTTAACATAGGAATTTTAGAGGGACATAAATAGCACACTCCAAATACGTTTGTTGTATCTACTTTGCCTGTCTTCTGTATCCGTCATCTAGTCTCTCATTCTTTTCAAGTCTTTATTTTCATTTTATTTTGTTCTCCTTTTTTTAATTAGCCTTTATGTTCCTTATTCTATTTTCTGTAGCTTTTTTTTATCATTTCTGTGATTTCACGCTATTATTTCTTGAGCTCTGACAGGTTATATTTGAGCATTTCCTCTTGACTTCCTGTTTCTTCTTCATGATCTTTTTTTTTTTTTTTTTTTTTTTTTTTTTTGATGGAGTCTCACTCTGACACCCAGGCTGGAGTACAGTGGTGCATTCTCAGCAGCTCACTGCAACCTCTGCCTCCCAGGTTCAAGCGATTCTCCTGCCTCAGCCTCCCAAGTAGCTGGGACTATAGGCACGTGCCACCACATCCGGCTAATTTTTTGTATTTTTAGTAGAGAAGGGGTTTCACCATGTTAGCCATGATGGTCTCGATCTCCTGACCTTGTAATCCACCTGCCTCGGCCTCCCAAAGTGCTGGGATTACAGGTGTGAGCCACTGCGCCCAGCCCATGATCTTTCTTTTAAAGGCAGTTGCTTCATTTATTTTACAAAACTAATGACAAAAATTTTGGTTAGACTTTTCATTCTGTCATTGAAGAAATTCTTGTGCTCTTTGTCTGTTGGTAAGTGTTACTGCTCTTTTTTTTCTTATAGTAACCGCATATCAGTGTTGTTCCATCTCCTTTGCTAATGCTCAATACTGAATGAATTGGGTCTTCATGCCTTAGGTATATTAGCAGAGGTGTTTGTGAGGTGGGAAGATCTAGGCAGTCTTCTAAACTTCACATCTGAAAGGTGTTCTCATTAGGTGGTTCCACAGAGACAGTGTACTTGCTGCTAATATGGCCCCTTCTTCAATCTGTCTGTCTATTATGAATCAATCAATCAATCAATCAATCAGTCATCTCTCTGTCCATCCATCCACCCATCCATCCATCCATCCATCCATCCATCCATCCATCCATCCTTCTTTCTTTTCTGCCTCTCTAGTCTAAACTGTATTTAGGAGGCTTCAGCAGCCAGCCCTACTCACTGCCATACTCCTTCTAATTTTTTTTTTTTTTTTTTTTTTTTTGAGACGGAGTCTCGCTTTGTCGCCCAGGATGGAGTGCAGTGGTGGGATCTCCACTCACTGCAGGCTCCACCTCCCGGGTTCACGCCATTCTCCTGCCTCAGCCTCCCGAGTAGCTGGGACTACAGGCGCCCACCACCAAGCCCGGCTAATTTTTTGTATTTTTAGTGTAGACGGGGTTTCACTGTGTTAGTCAGGATGGTCTCGATCTCCTGACCTCGTGATCCGCCGGCCTCGGCCTCCCAAAGTGCTGGGATTACAGGTATGAGCCACCACGCCTGGCCACTCCTTCTAATTTTTAACACATGGTGAGGTGTTGCATATTGGTATATTCTACTGTTATTGTAACTTCTTTTCCATGGTGGTGTATTTTTGTTGGTATTTTCTGAGAACTGTTAATGGTAAGCTACTTAACCTCACTCTTCACTTCATTTTCTCCTTAATTTATTTCCTTTTGCTTCTATCAGACCTTTGCCCTATTGACAGGATAGTTGAGTATACCAAAAATACAATTTTAGCATTGCAGGGTGCCACACATGTTGAGAAAATATTTTTGCCAGTGTCTTTGGAAATTTGCCCTTGAAGAACCAACTATTCTCTGTTTCTTTTTTTTTTTTTTTTTTTTTTTTTTTTTTTTTTTTTTTTTTTTTTTTTTTTTGAGACGGAGTCTCGCTCTGTCGCCCAGGTCGGACTGCGGACTGCAGTGGCGCAATCTCGGCTCACTGCAAGCTCCGCTTCCCGGGTTCACGCCATTCTCCTGCCTCAGCCTCCCGAGTAGCTGGGACTACAGGCGCCCGCCACCGCGCCCGGCTAATTTTTTGTATTTTTAGTAGAGATGGGGTTTCACCTTGTTAGCCAGGATGGTCTCGATCTCCTGACCTCATGATCCACCCGCCTCGGCCTCCCAAAGTGCTGGGATTACAGGCGTGAGCCACCGCGCCCGGCCTTTCTCTGTTTCTTTATAATGATTTTTCTGTACAATATCAGTTGCCTTTGGGAGACTATGTATGCTTGGAAGTGTGAACATTATATCTGTTCTAACTTTTATGATTAAGGAGTTTATTTTTTTCCTCATTTTTTTCTTTTCTTTGTTGCTTTTGTGTAATACCCAGCAAGTGGAAGGTTATTTATTCTGATGCCTTGTTTGTACTGTAATTTGAAAACTGACATTTTGGGATAATTTTATTTATTTTATTAAGATTTTTTTTGTATTGGTGGTCATGTATGTAGTTTAAAATGAAGTGTGGATTTTTAGGCTATAAAATTAGCCAGGGTTTAGAATGGTAAGGTGGATAAAGCACATTTACTTTTTTTCCTCCATTTTTCCTTTTGAATCCTGATGAGTATTATCTAGTTTTCATTTTTGGTAAGTTCTCCACATTCATGGACTGCTTTGTTACTATTCTGACCATAAAATGCTTGAATTTAGAGTTCTATGTGAGAAAAGTGATCCTTGTTGTGCTGTTATGACTAAGCATATTGTATACCACAGTTAGGAAATAAAAAGCACTTTGCTTCCTGAGATAAATCATCTATATGCATCTATCCATGTATCTATCAATTCATCTATCTATCTGTCTATCACCTTATCTAGTACTATTCCCTCAAATTAAGGAAGGCTTGAGCTCTTTCTTATAAGTTGCTAACTCTCTCATTGAAATAATTCATTCCCTGAATTTTGCAAAACTGACATCCATAAATTTGTGATGACCCTTGAAGATATGATTAAAAAATGAAGAAACTGTTCTACCATGAATAGGCTAATTGTAACTTTAGTAGCCTTGTGATTTTTTTTTCTCTAAATACCCGCTGTGTCCATTTGTCAAAGATCCTTGCAAATATTTAAATTTTGCATATAAAAAATACCTTTCAAAGAATATTTTTATGTCTGCATTTTTCTTTTACCAGTGACATTTCACTGATCATAGAAATGAAACCCAGAGTTATTGCTATATTTATGAAAGGATGAATGTATAATTGATTAAGGAGATCTATTTAATATAAAGCTTATAATTAGGGTCATGATAAAGTCTTGAATTGTAAATATATGTTGTATTTATTGAATAGAATGCAATTAGAGAATACAAACCTATAAAATATGTAATATTAGAGGTGGAAACAAGACAAAGTTTCTTTGACAAAAAGGTGCATGTACATAGATTTAGGTCAGAGATTGACTAATGCTTAAAAATAAAGAAAAAATGAATCAATTTAATTGAGATAAATGATCCATGATTAGGATAAGAGAAAGTCTAGCTATTCAATTCAGAGTTCACTTGAATGCATGGGCTGCTGTCAAGTTTTTAATAAAAGTACAGAGCAGCTTCCTAACAGAGGTATGAATAATAAGTTTATATGTCTCTGAAACAATGTTAATATAATTGAATCAAAGAAATAATTAAATGTATAATAGTCTTCTATTTAAATTTGTTCTTAACAGTGCAATTTCTTATTTAAATTCTGTATTATGAATTTAATTATTTTTGTCAAGATTTTAAAAAATCATTATTATAACCAGTTGGCACCATAATTACTTTTAGGGAAGGAACTGTGTTGGGTGCGGGGAGCAAAACTTGGTAAGTCACTTGGGATTAAAGGTGTGGGACTTTGAGGATAGAGCCTCCGTAACAGGATAAGTTATTCTACATGAGAAAATGGGAAGTGTTTATTTTGAACTACTATATGGATTGGGATTGGAGGCTGAAGGCAGTCTTCTAGGTATCAAAGGGCAGGGAGGTTTTACCTGACATATGAATTATTGTTTCATGTAAATATAGTTGAAAGTCATATATATTTAGAATTTTAAATACATAGTTTCAAGACAGTGCTTTTAATTTTTTAAGAAAATATGTGTCATTTATTTTTTCCAAAGCTAGTGGAAGTTTCTTTGTGTCCTAATAGCAATTGCGTGAATGAAATCGACATGAATAATACTTCCAGTTAGATTTTCATAAACTGACAGATAGTTTCATAAATACCCAATATGTAATGATAGTCAGAGGGAGAAGCTATATTAAGTGTGTATTTCAGGAGAGATTGTCCTCTGGAGCATATACTAGCATCAGGCAGCTGCTTTATGGAACCACCCACCAATTCCCTTGGGTTGTTGTTATTATTGTTTGTTTTTTGTATTTTGTTTAGTTTCTAGGGAACATAATTTTCTTTGTGTTTCTTTTTGCATGATGCTGACCAAGTCATGTTCATAAATCACATATGTTGATATCTACAGTGCTTTCATTGGCCTTCCAACTCGAGCATGGCAAAATATGCTTATTTTCCTTCAGAAGCGCATCTTTGTGTTAACTAGGCATTAACAATATGTGCTTAATAGCAATTATCTTATTTCTAAGGATCTCAGAGTTGGTTTGGCACATTGCCTCAGTGCTCTTCAAACATTATCAGAGAAGGACAACATAAACAATAAGATTTACACTGTAAAATTAGCCTCCACTTACAAATTCTTTTATCAGCCAATCCTTATCTTAATAACATATATTACCTTTTATTAAAGTAAATATGTCCCTCAGCTCTAGCTTTTTTCTCTGTATTTTTATGTACATTTATGGAGTTTTACTGAAATATTTAGAAGACTACTGTCTAAATACGGTTCTAATTTTTAAAATGCATAATCTTTAGGGTAAAGTCTTGGAGAGTGGCAAGTTTAATCAAACAGTAACGCTATCAGAGATAAAGATCATAACTCGCATTAAATTCTATAATTTAAAATAAACTATGTCTGGTATGTATTCAGAAAATGTCAGAGCTAGAACATTTAGTTCAGTCTCTATTTCATGGGTTAAAGAAAAGAAAGCTTAGAACAGTGAAAATACTTCCTCAAGGTAATACTTACAGTTCATGGCTGAAGTGGTAATAAAAGTCACAACCAACTTTTTCCTCTCTGCTTTCTTTTCTTTCTGTTCTGTCATTTTAAGTTTCTTAAAGGAAAAGCTTAGAGAAAATTAAGTATTGATGATAGAGCAGATACAGGATTTTCACCGGGTGCAGTGGCTTACGCCTGTAATCCTAGCACACTGGGAGGCTGAGGCAGGTGGATCACTTGAGGTCAGGAGTTTGAGACAAGCCTGGCCAATATGGTGAAACCCTGTGTCTACTAAAAAAACAAAAATTTGCTGAGTGTGATGGTGCACACCTGTAATCCCTGCTACTCGGGAGGCTGAGCCAGGAGAATCACTTGAACCCAGGAGGTGGTGGCTGCAGTGAGCCAAGATGGCACTACTGCACTCCAGCCTGGGCGACAGAATGAGACTCCATCTCGACATTAAAAAAAAAAAAAAAAAGAAAAACAAAAAAAGGATTGTGTTAACATGGGGGCCTGGGTGAGAAGAGAAAATTTATTTATAGGAGGACATGTAGGAAGGGCACTGAAGATTACTGTTTACCATTTTGAATTGTCCCTGCTCCAGTCTTACAAAGTGGGACATGCATTGTGTTTCTTGGGCATACTCACTTCCCTAAGAATAAGCTGTATCATCCAATGCTATTTGCACAGAACTCACGGCTTTATATTTACTGTCCTAAAATAAGTGATTTACAATCTTTTAAACTTTAAAACAGTAAATTTGATTTTCAGCGATGCCTTTTTTTTTGTCATTTTAAGGCCCCCTCCAAAGTGTTGTAACCTAGCTGAATGAAAAATAAGTGGCATTTTTGTTGTTATTGTTGGTGATGATACTTTTCATGGCAATCTTTGAGATACCTAGGAATATTCCAAGTTTTTGAAAAATCATGGTTGGGAATTACCACTCTGGAAACAGATTGCCATGGTTACTGTGTTAATGCTGTGATTAATGCGTCTTTTAGTCTTGTATGTGTGTGTAGATGTAGACATAATTCTATATTCTAGTTTGGTTAACATGTTTGATCTTTTTCTATCAGTCAGAGACATAAAAATGTCTTGACTCTCTTAAAAACAAGACTGTTCCCATTTTTTAACCTAATGGATATTTGTTGCTGAGGATCATTTTTTTGTAAGGAGTGAAATACCCAGAAAACTAAAGTGGTCTAGAAGATAACTGCTAGTTCTACATTTTTTTTTTTGTCTGAAGTTGTGTTTGAATTTACTTCCTTTCATCACTTAGTATTAAAAGAACAGTGTGTCAATTATAGATAAGAATTCTACATCCCCTGTCTTTCCCTAAGTACCTGCTTCGAAAAATGGGTGCAACTAGACTCAGTAGCTAGATGTGGTATGTGGAATGTGGATTCGTTCGTATCAGGCATGCTTCTTATAGGAATCCTTTAATGCACTCAGTCACCCAGAGCAGTCAAAGGCCTAAGCTGCTTCATACTTTATAGCAGGGCACAGTCACTTCCATAAATACTGTGCACTCCCAAGTAAATCCAGAATGTTTGCAACAGGATTTGTGTACCATCCCCAATTCTCTGTTTTCTTCAATAAAGTCTTTGTACACAATTGTTTGATTGTTTTTATCTCTTGATACTCACAAATAATGCCACTGGAGAAATAAACCTAAGACATATCCAACTGGATCACTTTATATACAGAGATATAACATTTCAACAACAGAAGCCTTTCTTGTTGAGGGGATGCACATTTGGAATACTCTCAAATGATTATTCGAAATCAAGAAAAAGAGCCAATGAGAAACAGCAAAACACAAATATCTCTAATAAGGAAAAATATTTCTGCAATGAGATTTTTCTTAGATATATATGTGATGATTAAGAGCATTTGTTTATATTGTAGGTTCTTGTCCTAAACTTACAATAGTAAGTGTAGACAACACTAATTGTTATGGTAAAAGGTGCTACATGTGTGTATGTATGTATATGTGTATGTATATGTATACATATATTATTTGGATATTCCAGTCAGTGGTACTTACTGCCCTTGGTTAATGCATAATTGTCTTGAGAAAATGATTATATGTATCAGTGTGATCTGGCTAAAACAACTCTCTCCAACTGATCACCTGATTTTGTTTCATTTCCCCGGGTAATCTGGTAGGTGGCCATTTCTTTTCTTTCTAGTCTATGTTCCCTCCTAAAGATAAAACTTGGTCAAACATCTATTTATGGTAACCTGTCTTTAAGATAGTTTCAGGCATACCTTCTTCCTTTAATCTCATTTGGTTGATATGTTAGATCCTTTCCTATCAGCCAGAGAAATAAAAATGTCTTCAGTGTCTTAAACAAAATTGTTTACATTCTTTAATTAAATGGTCATTTTAAGGAGAGAAATGCTCAGAAAATTAAACTGAGTATAGAAGGTAACTGCTAATTCTACATTTCTTTTCTGAAATTGTGTCTTCATTTGTTTTTTAAAAATCATTTAGAAGCTGTGTAGCCCACAGAGAAGTTCTCAAGTTTGTGGAAAAGAAATAATTAAGTCCCGAAGTTAGGGGTAGAAGAGAATGGAGCTTTGTTGGTCAATTCTGACATCTTAGAACACCTCAGTAATGTGGTTCTTTGAAAGCATCAAATCGCTGCGGTTACTTTAGAAAGGTCATTTTTAGAATGCTTATACTACTTTTCCCCCATTTTGAAGGTCAACTGGGGTTTATTTTAAGTTAGTATTGATGTAAAAGATGGCACACCCTCTTCTGGGGCATAAATGCTTGAGGATGAGCCATAGTCATGCATGACATGTGTCAAGATAAGAAATGGAAATTTATCTGCAGAGACTACCATATGATGTATGTGTAAATTTTCAGTCCCTGGGATTATGATTTTTTTTTTTAGTGAAGACAAATGTTTTTTGTTAGTTAGATCCTGATTTTTGGCATGATTTAGTAGGAGAAAGAAGGTTTTAGTTTAGACATAGCTTTTCTTACATCTTGTGTAAAATTGTCAGTTATAGGGAGGGTAAACACTGCACTCTGGAAAGGCCTTCTGGAATGTCCTTATTTCTGTGTGAGTGTGATGGAAAAAAATAACTTTTAAAAAAATACATGTTTAATGAAAGATATTTCCAGGTTATTCCTTCTGGATTTTAATTTAACGCTTGTTTGTATCTCTATGATAGCATGTATGAAAATGTATTTTAATGATTTAATTATCTCCCCATATTAGATGATCTTGCTATCTTTATCATATGCCCTGTTTATTTTTCTATTCCTGGTGATAGGTGGAGTGACTGATACATTGCAGGTACATAATATACATTTTTGAGTAGATATGTGTATGATTAATTGACATTTTGCAAGCCTTTTTTTCCAACTTTTAAGTTCTGGGGTACATGTGCAGGATGTGCAGGTTTGTTACATACGTAAACATGTGTCACGGTAGATTGCTGCACAGATCATCCCATCACCTAGGTGTTAAGCCCAGCATCCATTAGCTATTCTTCCTGATGCTCTCCCTCCCACCCCTCAACAGTGTGTGTTGTTTTGACAGACCCCAGTATGTGTTGTTCCCACCACGTGTCCATGTGTTCTCATCATTCATCTCCCACTTATGAGTGAGAACATGCAATATTTGGTTTTCTGTTCCTGCATTAGGCAAACCGTTTTTTTGTTTGTTTGTTTGTTTTTGTTTTTGTTTTTAAAGAAAAAAGAAAGACATGCTATGAAATGGCCTTGGACCTAATTCAAGAAACGAAAGAAAGTCAGAGATCAAGGAAGAAAGGAACAATGCAGAGTTTATGGAAGTTAGATGTTAAGATGACAGCTGAGTATGCTTCTTTTCTCCTCACCCTTGTTTAGCCAGGTGCTTACTTGACAATTTGTAAATTAAATTATTCCTTGAACAATATTTTGCACAGGAGTAAAGGAATGCTTCATGGATAAACAGAGGCAATACCTGGAGCTAATCTTTGTGGATAAATGTGTTTATTTTGATTCCTGAAGCTGGGATGCAGAACTGATAGAGGGAAGCCAGGGGGTTTTCTCTGCTCCACCAAATAAATCACATATGACTAGAAATTGCAACCAGACAGCAATCTGTGAAGCAAGTGATAGGAGCTCCACCGTCTGGTGCCTGCTGTGGATGTCTGGCACCCATTGGTACCAGATTTGGTGTAAGTGGGGCTTCTGTTTAGGAAACTTTGCCAATTTTTTTTTCTTGAAAAGTGGATTTTGGCTTTGTTTCTGCATTCTTATATGGGAATAAAAAAATCTCATAATTGCAAATGTGTTTATTATGCCCCAAACATTAGATCTAGGCTATTCTTTCCATAGGATATTGTAATCCTGTGTGGGTACATTTGCTGCTGCATTTGACACAGTAAAGTTGTATTAATGTTTTTCATTCTGCTATCTTTTAGAACTAAGATAGGCATAATTCCTAATTTATCTGTGCTCCCCCTTATGCATACATTTAGGTAGTCAAACCTTGAGAGTTTCTATAGAATATTTTTAAAACTTACCTTTGGTCTGTCTTATCCTTGGAAATGTTTTCACGTTTGAGAGCATCACCTCCTATCAGATCATTCTGTTCCTTGACCCTCTCCCTCTGACAAATTTCACATCTTTCTTCGCAGGAAAAAAGAAACTAAGGCTATATCATGGCTTTCTTCACTCCTCTTCATTCTGATATGAACATTTGAAGCAAGCATTGATTTTTTTCTTCCTTCTTCTTACTTTTGCCAGAACCCATGATGCTGTTTATTCTGGTGGGGTGTGTGTGAAACGCATGTTGCAGTTCCATCTCTCTTGACCTTTTCTTTGTTTGCTATGTATATTGCATCTCCTCAGTTGTCCAGGTTATCGCAAGAAATTGTGCTGGATTTCTACTCGCTCACCTTCTATTTCTTACTAAATATTCCTTGTTGTATCATAATCCCTCTCACCAGAATTCCTCCTGTGTGAACTCATAGATTACAATCTACATTGCTGCAAGAGACTACCAAATTTTCCATCTTTCTCAGGTTTCTGCACCTTCACTCACTCTTATATCTTTCCAAACTTTCCTTTCCATCTTTCTTAATGTCAAACCTGATTAGTCATTCTCCTGCTTAAAATCTTCCACCGAGTTCTCAGGGCTTTCAGGTTGAAGTTCAAGCTCATTAGTGTGACATACAAGGCTCTTAGGACCTGGTGGTCTCAGCCCCTGGCTACTTCCCTAAAACACTGCCCACTCAGACCAGATCTAACTAGTTTTAGTTCCCTATATCATGGTATACTACTGCGATTTTCCATGTGCGCTTACTTTACTCCCAGGTCTCTCTATCCTCTTCCTCTTCATGTAACTAATTTCTTCCTGGCTCTTTGACACTGGGCATCAGTGTCATGTCCCCAGTGTCTAATGTGATGTCTTTCATCTGTTCTCTTATAGGCTTGGATGCATCTCCTTCCTGTCATCTTACTAGTATTATTGTTCACTGTCCTTCCACGGTGGCACAGAGTCCCCAGGGTATATCATAGTATTGTTTGCAAAGGTCTACTAAGAGTAAATGAGTAAATGAATCTAATAATTTTTTATTGCTTTAAGTGCTCTGTATTTTAATTCACTGCCTATCAAGCCTTGCTCTCTTTGAATTATATTTATGTCTAAATGTTCATGATAGCATCAGATTGAATTAATTGTAGCCTTATATATTGACTCTCAAACATGACCAAGACTGTTATTGTTGACTCTATATTCAGACAAATAACCAGACACATAGAGTAAAAGAGTTAACCCATAGTCTGTATGACCTAATGAAAAGAGCTTAGACAAGAACCAAGGAGCAACAGTCTCAAATGTCAGATGCCTTTGCCATATTACTCCCATTTCTTTTTTTATAGTTAAAAATGTTAAATTTTAAAGGTTAATGTGATGCTGCTAAGCCCTCTGTAGGGTGATTGATCAGCTTAAATGTAAACTATTTTGGTGACCATGATATATAAAGTCATAGTGTTGAAAAAATTCAACAATAGTTAGAATCATTTTAAGAAAACAACATTGATATATGAAAATATTCACAATTGAGAAATCTTATATTGATGAACTTAGAGATTATACATTTTGGTCTTGAGGCAGAACTCATCTTAGTAAAACTGCTTAAGAACTTAATCTTGATCTTATAAAATAAATAAAGATGGTATTTTGTATTTTAAACTATTGAGTATGATTTCTTGCTGGGATCTATCACTATGAAAAGTGATTATTGGTTTAGAGTGGTGTTCTCGTTATTTTGGGTTTTGAAGGAGCACAGTTCATCCTGTTGGTCTGTGTTAACCAGGGGTAGGTAAAGAGGACAGAGGACACCTAGCAATGGCTCAGGTATTATCAGTGAGCAGGGTGAGAAAATCCTTGTGTACCAAGAGGAATTTTGTCATGGATTTGCAGAACTTTCAAAAACAAGAAACATTATTTCCACTTTTCGTGTGATTCCTCTCACTTTTTAACCTCTTTTCTCTTTTCCTTCTTTTCGAGATGGAGTCTTATTATGTTGTCCAGGCTGGAGTATATTGGCTATTCACAGGCATGATCATTACACGCTACAGCCTCTGAACTCCTGGCTCAAGTCATCTTCCCATCTCAGTCTTGAGTAACTGGGACTATAGATGTGTGCTGTGGTGCCTGGCAGAGCCTCTTCTTTAACTGTAATAGACCTGCTTATCATGCATGAAATGATCTACAAACACAAAGTACCCTATCATCATTATCTCTTTGGAGTACTATGTCCTTTAAATGTATTTTCTTACTGTAACTAACTACCTAGGCTGGAGGTCCTATCTCTAATTTAGAAATGAAGAAAGTGAGACCTACTTGGATTGAGTGAGCATTCGAAGTACATTCAGAAGTGGAAATTATTTTTAAAAGTTAAATGGCTTCTAGAGGTCATGTAGTCTCTTTTGTCATATAGTGGAGAAAACAGAGAAGTTCAAGATTTCCCCAAACGTTCTTAGTTACTGGCAAACAGGAGCTAAATGTCATTCTTCCTGGATTTTAGTCAGTATTTGCTTGGTCACTTTTCTTAGTAGAGCTTTTTCTTCTCCTTGCATTCATAAACACTTAATAAAAGTGAATTGATAATGATCATATATATTATATAATTAGGTAATATTAGCCGGGCATGGTGGTTCATGACTGTCATACCAGTTTCATATATTAGAAGAAAAGTACAAATTGTGTAGCTACTCAAGTGCAAAATGTAGAGAGAAAACCTAGAGAAGACATGAAACTCTCTCCTTGACTAATATCTTCAGGCTGGGGATACTATGAACAATGGTGTGTTCAGAAAGAATGAACAAAATTGCTGTAGTAACTCAATTTCAGAAGAGTTTGACCCTGTCAGAATCATCTACTGTATTTGCATGAGAAATATGAAAGGAGTCCAAGGGAAAGATGATGTGTTCAGTGTTCTTTTCCACTGCATTGGAGCACCTGAGGAGCTGAAGAGAGAAACTTGTGTTTCTTCTTTGAGTGGCAAGTGTGTTAGTTAATATCATCAGGCAGAACATGCTTTCCAAGAGTTTAGTTTGCTCCTTCACAAACTAAAATACTCTGAAGTGCCTGATTTTATGCAAATTACTTTTGGTTGTTGTATTGAGAAATGAAAGGATGCCAACATTTTTTTTTATAAACCAAATACTAATTAGCATTACCAAATTTATCTGTTGAGATACACCACTTATTTGTAAGAGAAGCTCTTTGACAAAATGAAAGAATATGAATAAATTCTTCACACTGGCTATATGAGACCTTGGAATGTCATTTTCTTTTTTTTCTGTAGAATTTGTGTAATACCCTCCACTTTGTTGGACTGAATGAGATGCATACAAAACAACCTTGTAAATTACAGCATTCTAGGTCAGAGGCTAGAAATATTTTCTGTAAAAGGCAAGAGAGAAATATTTTATGCTTTTGTGAACCATAGGTCTCTGTTGCATCTACTCAACTCTGCCATTGTAGTGTGAAAGCATCCATAGATAGTACATAAACAAATGAGGGCTGCTCTGTTCCAATAAAACTTTATTTATAGATACAGAAATTTGAATTTCATGTAATCTTCACCTATTGTGAAATGTTATTTTTCTCTTGATTTTTGTAACCATTTCAAAATATAAAAAATGACTCTTAGCCCACAGGCTGTATAAAAACATGTAGATTTGGTCCAAGGTCTGCAATTCACTAGCCTTTCTCCAGGTGACTGCCTCACTATGAAACAGTTCCAAGTATAAAGGGATTAGGATATGATGCTGATGTTGGGATTGCATTTACTGAGCTATCTAGGTGATTGACTCCAGGCTCTCTCTCTGATACTGAGAACATGCCTTGGCATATGTTCCCAGCTAACGTTTGAGAAAACTCATTTTCGGAGGAATAATTTTCTGTTGTTTGTTGCTGGGAGTTGGGCAGAATATCTCAGGTAGTGGAAGGAGGATACTGCACCACACAACTCATAGAACTGAATTGATACAGATAGATGTCAGCATTTCTGTGCAAAAACAAATGTTTCAAAGTTTTGAGGTCTCAGCACTTTTCCAGGCACAGCATTCTGGATCTTGGCACACAGATGACTCTCAGTTTGAATAGAAAATGCTCACCTTTCTTTTTGCTAGTTTTATTCCAGAGCCAATCTCTTTATAATAAAGAAAGCAACTGAAAATGGAAAACTCACTGAGCTTAAAGCAGCCAAAGGAAAAATATGTGCTCATTTTAAGTTTTTTCTTTTGCAACTCTTGGCCAAATAGGTTTATTTTTAAATACTTTTCACAATTTACAAATGTTTGCCTTAGGACTTTGTGTAATGGCATTGGTTTTATACAGCTATTACAGTTAGGGTGAAGAGATTTTCTTCACAGAGATGGTTTTGGAAAATGTCTCATCACACAAGTGGTAAGTGTAGTCGCTGTAATTGTATTGAAGAAAAGAAATGACTAATGGGAATCACAAAATTGTGAAATTGATGATCATTTCTGTTTTTATTGCCTTTATTTTAAACATAATAGTGACAAAGTCTGAAACAATATTTGGAGATTGCTACATATTTAAATATTTAATGCAACAAGCATCCCACTTTATTATAGGAGATAGAACATCGACTGTGCCTAACCTAAATTACTTTTCCAGGGGGTTTTAGTGGATTATTTTCCTATTAAAAAAAGGGGAAAAAAGAAAAGAACAGTCTGGTACAAAGTATAGGTGACGGCTTCAGCTTTGTAATTACCTATTAATTGATATCTGTATATAAGTATAACAAATAAAGTTTTAAATACTGAAAATGAGATGAGAGATACTAAAGGAAACAATTTCCTGAGAAGTATTAGGTTAGACTGTACAAATGTAAAAAACATGTCAACAACCTGGCAGCAAGTAGTCTTGAGACCTTGAAGTTCAATGAGAGCAGATGAATTGTCTGCTCTTTTAATAGTAATAAAAACTATCTAAGGCAAAATTTTGGCATGTAACTTAAGAAACTTAAAAAGTTTCTCATGCTTTAAGACACTTTGATTTTATTAGATCTAGAATGAGGTCTGGGAATGTATATTTTTATAAAGCTCCACTGGTGACCTGGGTCAAGTTTTGCAATACAGAATTTGAGGCAGATAATATTATGTAGGAGGTAGGAGATTTATTGGGGAGTGCTAGAAGTACCAATACCAGTGGGGGAGTGAAAAAAGCATGTCTGTAGAGCAGAAGAAGCTGGACTGCAGAGCAGTTGCAGTAGAATCCCATCTGATCCTAAGGAGCCCTGGAGCTGGCATTCCAGGCCCTGGAGAGTTGTCCTGGAATGAGGCAAGGAGGAGGGTTTGTACCCTTGCATTCATCAGTCATGGGATACAGGATGCCCCAGGGAGTGGGTGAAAACTTGAGGGAGATAGCTCTTTCCAACAGAGGGTAGTGTCCAGAGAAGGTCTGGTTATGAGGTGTCAGAAGCCAACACTTGCAATCATTGGACGAATTTCAGTCCTGAAGTTGTTTCTAGGCAGCACACCAGTGTGTCCATTACAACAGGCTATTCTTATGATTGAAAAACGATTGTCTAAGGGGTTGTTGGGAAGAAGTACTTGGACTGGAGGGTAGGCAAGGAGTATTTATCTGTTTCTTAAACATGTACGGAGTGCCTACTATGTATAGGTACTAGAGACATAAACATGAAGAGATAAGTTCCCTACATTTAAGGAGCTTACCATCTAGTGGGACTCAGATATGTAAATAAATAATTAAAACATAATTGTCAAAACAGGAGGGTATGTGGTATGTGCATGTTTCCAGGTTTTAAAAAAGCTTTACTTCACAAACAAAAATGTTCTGTTCATTCTGCTTATTTTGATTTGATAGATTACAGCTCGCAGAGCTAATATTCTCTTAATGTAAGTTTCTTCCCCTTCACAGATGTTTTTCCATCTCCTCTAATTTCTCATCGTTCTGTGATGAGACAACCAGAGTCTTTAAAAAATAAATACTTTGCTTTTCTATGATTAAATGGTTTGATGAAAATTAAGCCATAAGCATAAAGTGCTAAATAGAATAAACCCCTGGCACATAAAATGGGTAGGTCCTGATATCCTCTTTCAATTCTTCAAATGTATAGGTAGATACTGATACCCTGTCTCAACTGTAGTCAATTACACTATATATTTTCCTCTATAAAATGTATCACTGGCCACGTTCAGTAGCCCTCCATTACTGAATGGGGCAATTATTCAAGAATGCCCCAGTGAATGCCTGAAACTGCACCTGGTACCAAGTCCTACATATATTGTCTTTTTTTTATATGTACATACCTATGATAAAGTTTAATTTATAAATTAGGCACAGTAGGAGATTAACAGCAATAACAAATACAATAGTAAAACAATTGTAACAGTATACCAACATCACTGCTCTTGTACTTCGAGGCCATCATGAAGGAAAATAAAGGTGATTTGTACAAGAGCACTAGGATATTGTGATAACGCAGACATCTCCTAGACAGGATCTACTGGACAAAGGGATGATTCACGTCCCGGGTAGGAGGGGGCAGGACAGAGCGGGACAGTGGGAGACTTCATCTTGCCACATAGAATAGTGGATAATTTAAAAATTAGGAATTGTTTACTTCTGAAATTTTCCACATAATAGTTTCAAACCAAGGGTAACTGAAACCATGAGAAGTGAAACTGCAGATATGGGAAGACTCCTATAGAAAATATTTGGGCTGGGCATGGTGGCTCATGCCTGTAATCCCAGCACTTTGGGAGGCTGAGGTGGGTGGATCATCTGAGGTCAGGAGTTTGAGACCAGCCTGGCCAACATGGTGAAACCCCGTCTCTACTAAAAATACAAAAATTGGCTGGGTGTGGTGGTGCAAACCTGTAGTCCCAGCTATTTGGGAAGCTGAGGCAGGATAATCGCTTGAACCCCGGAGGCAGAGGTTGCAGTGAGCTGAGATCTCGCAAGTAATTGGTTATTTACTACATAAAAATGTTACGTAGTATTCATATTTATGTTTGATTGCATCACTTTTTTTTAAACTTTTGGCTCAAATATTGGTAGTTTTCAAGGAACTTTTCTGCAGCATTATATGAATATGATGACAAGTAGAAAAACCAAAAGGGTGCATCAATGTATGAAAGCTGGTGTGTTAAATTGTTATCATCATTAACAATTCACTGCTGCATGCTAAATTCATAGCTCACACAATTCAATTTATGCCTTATAAAATTACAAACTATTACAAGTCATGGACTTTAAGGTTGCTCACCAAGTTATCAAGAAGGTCAAAGGTAAATGCAACTGTACTATTCTATGGTAATTTTTCACAAATCCCATTGATTCTTGTTTATGATACTATTTCATAAAACTCAGGGTCATATAATAATGTTCTGTTTCAAAACATGTTGGTGTATTTCAAGGTCTCAGAAAAGGTATTGAAATTTTTTGGTGAGCCAAAGAGAACAGGAAAGATGATGTTTTGTCTGTAAATTCCATGTTGACTCTGAGTTAGAAGAGACTCTAAGGGTCATCTGGTTCTGGGCTGTTAGTTTTGAGGTAATAACGTTTTCATTTACAAAAAGAACATTGGTAAAGTAATAAAAGCTTATTTTTGTATATATACTTATTTACGCACAGATTATACATGGGAAAAATGGTGCCCAGGCAGTTTGCTTTCAGTGATATATGTTAGGTGAAGGTCAGGAATAATATTGACATAAGTAAATATTGGAATAGAAGGCAAGACTTGGAGGTGGGATTTAAACAAATAAACAAAGTTTTTTTTTTTTTTCCTTTTTATGCTACTTTGCAGGAAGGTCATGTCAAAATTAAAATAGATTCTGCTTTCTACCTTGGCAAGTAACATGTATTATGCCCACTCACATGTAGGTCTTATCTGCTTTGGCAAATACTTACAGAAGAAAGTGTAATTTGGAAAGAGAAGAACATAATGATATTAGACAAAATAGGGTCACAAAAATTTACAATTGGAAAATGATTTGTAAGTTAATAAAATTACCTAGAGCCAGATTCTACTGTCTAAATATACCACTGAATGTAAACAAGCTTTTGCTGAGCTAGTATAGACAGGTTTGAAAAACTTGGTTTTCTCCAGTACTCACTCTTATCAAGGAGGAAAAAGGCCCAGAAAAAAAATTCTGAAGAGTATTTTTGTATCATTTACTTATGCCCCATCTTTTTCTCAAATATATTTAAGACAGTTTATCAGAATACATACTATGTAAGAAAATAACATAAATAAGGAAATCAGGGCAAACAGAATGTAAGGTTTTGAAAATGAAAAAGGATCTGGGGAATCTGAGGATAAAGTTAACACAAAAAATGCTTGAGGATCTGTTCATCTGCTGAATGACGGTTACAAATCTGTAAATATTCTGATAGCCAACTCTAAGAGAAAAACACAGTTATTTCAATGTTTATAGTTATCCTGGAGGAGCCCAATTCTTTCTCTAAGTGGGACCAGAGAAAAATTTCCCCTTTGTCCTAAGAAAGAATTCCTACGGAGTATAGGGTAATCAAGAACTCATGAAGCTGTGTGTCCTGTAATGCCCCTTAAGTAGTTAGATGATTGCAGGCCAAGAGCAATACAGTCAAACTGATTTTACCAGGAAGAAAAAGCAGTCAGTCCAAAAACAACATTCTTGTGGTTTGATTAATCCAAAATTGGTTAGATTCAGGAATGGAAATCTGCATAGACTTTAGGCAAACCTCAATAATTATTTCTGTAACCAAGATTCTGATAATTGTTGAGGAAGTAGTGAATTCAAGCTTATGCTCTCTGTACTTCCTGACAAATCCTTGGAGTGCATCACTGCTATGTTGTTAGTGCGTGTGGACCCATATGCCTTTGATATTTGCCAGGCTGGGGATATAAATGACATATAAAGATGTTCTAATGAGGGCTACTCACTCTCTTTTCTCTCTCACAGACACATTCACTCATGCCCATGTATATACAGATAATCATATAGACATATATACACACACATAACTATTGAATAATTTGTTGTTTAAAAAATATGTTTCAAATTAATGGGGAAAGATAGATTGGGGAACAGATGGGCGTCAGACAATTTGCTATCAATTTGGCTAGAAATCAAGTTAGATTCCTATCTTACAAGATATGCAAAACATAGAAGGATTATAAAGTCAAATTAAAAAACAAAGTATTAGAAGAATATATGGAGCATTTTTATACTCTTGCAGTAGGGAAAGATGCTCAGAGCAAACATGAAATCCAGATCCCATAAAATAAAAATACGAAGTACTTAGGCAAAAACCAAGAAGAAATAACAAACTTTGGTAAGACACAAATGATAGTAAATGTATAAAAGTCAATATAAGTAAAATTAAAAGAGAAGTGATAAACTTGGAACATGTATTCTAAACATACAACATGAAGAAGCTTAGTATCTATGATTTTTAAAGAATGTCAAGATATTAATATACAGGAAAAACAGCAGAATAGAAAAATGAGTAAAGAACATAGTTTTTTTCTTTTTGAATTAATTGAATTTGAAACAGCGGTTTTTCTCCTTCGAGGAGTAGGACTTTTCACAAAGCTTCAGTGGATTGTTCTAAATACTGGAAATGATATGGAGAAGCACGTCTCATCTTTCTGGAAAGCGATTTGGCAATGTATATCAAACCTTAACATTACAAATGAGCAGACCCAACAAATGTTCATATAAAACTCACACCTAAAAATATACCAGACATGAAGGCAAAGCTATATATACAAAGGGTGTTTACAGAAATATTATTCTTATGTCAAGTGTGGAAAATACTAACCGAAGTCCACATGTCCAACTGAAGAGGAATTAGGGTTTAATGATTTAAGAAGATATCATGAAACTATTAAAATTATGTTTAATGTTAATTATATAGGAAAATCCTTGAGGTAAAGTTTTAAAAGTAGGATACAAAATTATGTCATACACACACACACACACACACACACACACATTTTACAAAAACCAAAATATATGTATGATATGTATTGTTTTACACATGGAGAGATATAAGTATACACATTATAAATACAAATTAATACTTTTGGTCATACAGGATGTCTCTGTTTTTTGAAATACATTTTTCAATAGTTTTGACATTTTTAGCCATAAGTATATATCAATAGTGTTATTTGAAAAATATTTAAACAGAACATAACTCAGTTAATATATATGTACTAAATAAATTTATAATTTTTAAGGGCAGAAAAGCATAAATATTTCAGGAAATTCTGAACTAAAACACAGTTGAAAACTTCTAAGACTCTATATCAATATGCAATTGCAATGTTAAATAAAATAAAGATGTTAGCAAATAGCACAATAGTAGTTGGCATATTGGAACTAGAATTTCATCACGTTATTTGCAAGACATCTAATATGAGTCATTTGACCCAATATTTTCCTTGTCTTACTCTGGGATGATGATACCTCTGTCATGGGGTTGCTGTGAAGAGTCAGTAAGATGTAATCAACCAGCGAATGTTAGGTGCTCAGTACATTTTAATTCTTCATCCTCTTTCTCTTTTTCCTCTCAGCACAGATACCAGATGTAAAAATGTTATTTATTTTTTTCCTAGCACTAGTAAGGAGTTGAAAGTTTTTTTCCATAAAAACAGTGCCCAGTTCTTGGTGATGACAGCAGGGAGACCTTTCTCACTCCTCTTCAGGGTGAAGGTCAGTGGGTTCGTTCCAGTTCATTGACTGGTTGTTCACAGCTGACGTTATCACGATTAGACAATGCTTTGCCTTACCAATTATTTAACGTAACTGTGCTTCTGTCTTTGCTCATAAAAACTCTGGTTTGGATACTTCACTCATTGAAAGCAGCAGAGGCAAATCATCAGGTATATATACAGCTTCAATGCCTAAGATATTGGGCTACTTTTGCTAGTTAGCCTGTGGTCCAGTAGCCGCCCCCACACCCCACCATCTATTTTTGGAACGTATACAAATGGAGAAAGATACATTAGGTTCCTCCATTTTAATCTAGTTATTTTTTTAAAAAAATTATAAGTATGAATTTTAGGCTGTAAGTGTAATTTTGTTAGATGGATAGATTGTGTAGCATTAAAGTCAGGACTTTTAGGGTAGTTACCATCCAAATAACATATATTGGCCAGAGACAGTGTCTCCTGCCTAGAATCCCAGCACTTTGGGAAGTTGAGGCAGGTAGATTACTTGAGGTCAGGAGTTCAAAACCAGCCTGGCTGGTCAACATGGTGAAACTCCATCTCTACTAAAAATACAAAAATTAGCCGGGCATGGTGATGCGCCCCTGTAATCTCAGCTACTCAGGAGGCTGAGGCAGGAGAATTGCTTGAACCCAGGAGGCAGAGGTTGCAGTGAGCCGTGATTGCACCAGGCCACTGCACTCAAGCCTGGGTGTAAGAGTGAGACTCTGTCTCAAAAAACAAAAAACAAGTATATTGTGCCCATTAAATAATTTCTCATTATTTATTCCTCTCCTATGTCCCCACCCTTCTGAGTTTCTATTGTCTATCTTTTTATACTCTGTGTCCATGTGTATGCATTATTTAGCTCCCACTTGTAAATGAGAACATGCAGCATTTATGTTTCTGTGACTGACTTGTTTCAATTAAGACAATGGCCTCCAGTTTCATCCATGTTGCTGCAAAAGACATGACTTTATTCTGTTTTTTTTTTTTTATGGCTGAATAGCATTCCATTGTGTACCTATTACATTTTTTTTTCCCAGTCATGCACTGATGGACACTTAGGTTGATTCCATATTCTTTGCTGTTGTGAGTAGTGCTGTGTTAAGTATACAGGTGCAGGTATCTTTTTGATATAAAGATTTCTCTTCCTTTGGGAAAACACCCAGTAGTGAGAGTGCAGGATCAAATGGTAGTTCTTTAAACTCTCTAAGAATCTTTACAAAATCCTGCCACTGTAGGTATAAAACAATATGTGGTCTCACTTAGAATAAAATGGAGACATTTTAAGAATGTGTTGTTTGAATCCTGGCCATGTTCTTTCCCAGAGGCTACAGTTTGGTGTAGTTCACTGGATGTGCCTGTGGACACTGAACTTGACTGGCTATTGGATTTCTGACTCCTGGAAGATTTTGAGGAGTTGCAGCTCTTGTTCTCTTTCATCTCCCACCCATCTCCAGAAAAGTCCAGGTTACACCTGTGGAAGGGTTACCAGCCAGAGGACAGAGTGTGAAGGCTTGCCTGGTAATGGCAAACCCAGTTGCCATCCACATGTCATACTTTGCACCATGTCCCTGATTTGTATGGGTTCTGTACATGTCACAGTTTCTAAGAGTGAACCTCTCTGCCCCCCCGCCCACATGACTCTGCTGTCAGCTTTCCAAACAATGAGAGGACAGCTCCTTTGAAAGATGTAAGTTTTCCATTCCGAAAGATATAAATTTCCTGGTCCTGCAGAGGCTAGAAATACCTCTTGTTTGGGTCACTGGACTCGGGCTAGGTGATCTGCAAGATCTTACACAATGCTACTCTAATATTTCCTCTGTCTCCAGCTGTTTCATGACTCCATCCCTGCCATGTGTGTGCCTTACCATCTTTTTAAGCAGAGCACAGGCCTGGGCAGTGGCTCATGCATGTAATCCCAGGCTTTGAGAGGATTGCATGAGGTCAGGAGTTCAAGACTAACCTGGGCAACATAGCAAGACCCCATGTCTACAAAAAATTAAAAAAAAGCCAGGCATGGTGGCGCGTACCTATAGCCCTAGCTGCCTGGAAGGCTGAGGCAGGAAGATCGCTTGAGCCCAGGAGTTCAAGGCTGTAGTGGACCATGATCATGCCACTGCACTCCAGCCTGGGTGACAGAGTAAGACCTTTTCTTACAAAAATAAAGAAATAGAGTACAGATTGTAACTGGCAACAGTGAGTCTGTCTCCTCCCTTTCCTCGGGCATCAGAGTCAAAAGAATGACAATAACATTTGCTATAATTATTTTAAGTTTTTTTAAATGATATGGCCCACATATAGAAAATAATTATCATGTTGTCTTCTAAAGGATTTGATTACTAGAATTAGATAACTGATTTCTTTCTTTCAAAAAGTGGAAGCTTTTTTTTGTTTGTTTGTTTTTGGTTAACTGCATTTTAAATTTTAGGAACAAGTAGATTCTTCTTCAGTCTTAAACTTCAGCACCTGCTAAAAATAAGGATTACGTATTAAACATTATATTTTCCCCCAGTTTTCTCTGGATGTTACTGCAAAAATTTACTCACTCTCATTTGGATCACAGGGGCTGATAAATGTGTGTGTTTCCAGATGCTGCACCAGGACTGAACCTGTGGAGTAGGAAATGATTCTACCTTAGATACACATACCCTCCTCTCCTGTTTTTTTATTCTAAGTCTCCCTAGCCTCTTAGGTTTTTGTTTGTATTACCCTCCCTCTTTCCTGCTTCCAGCCATCCCTATTATGACTCTAAGGGTCCCATGAAAGATTAGGTCATCTGTGATGCTGTCAGAGGCCTGGAGAAGTCCTCCACCTATGTGTGCGTCATGGACACCTGGACACAGGCTAAAAGCTTCTTGAGCAACTTGGTAATGGCCTTCTGAAAAAAAATGCGCTCAGCCAATGTATTACTAATTCTACTGGGGGAATTTCCAAGTCAATTTCTGGGGACTGAGAGTGGTACAGAAGGATGAGGGTGTTTAGGTACACTTTAAATTCACAGTGTATGATGTGCCCTGACCACCCCCATCCTCCACACACCCACTACTTACTCCTAAAACAATTTTTTCTAAGCCAAAAGTGGTTTATGACAAATTGTATGTTTGCAGATTTGGAGTCTAAAGAGGAGTAGATTTATTTAAGGGCCATATTTAGTGTTAGTAAAAGCTACACTTACTATGCTAATTGCAACTTAAATTAGAGCTTTACCTTTATCACCAAAAAAAACCCCACTGTCTTCCCTTGATGTTAAATTGTAGGAATTTAAAGTAATTTAAATTTCTATTTTTTCTACATTTCCGCTTTTTGTATCTGTACAATATGATTATACATGTGAATGGTTAACAAAAACTGTATACTTTAGTCTTTAAGTGGAACCTCAGTGCAATATTTTGTAGGCATTAAAAATGATAAGCACTTTCATCAGACTATTAGTTTTCATTTTGTTGACTTTGTTTGTTTAGTTCTTTGTGGTATACCCTGTAGTTATAATGAAATGATGTAAATCTATATATTTGCCAACACATAGATGTATTTCTTTTTAACTTAACTTTTTAGCATTATGCAGGAACTGCTGCTCACTCGCTAATTATCCCACAGCCTCGCAAGATGGCATCTCCTGTTTTCTAGCAGATCAGGATCAAAACTTTGGAATCATTTCTCTTTCTCTTACACCTCATATCCCATCCATAAGAAATTCTCTGCATGTATCTAGAACTTGGCACTTCTTACCACTTTAACTGCTACCATCCGTCATCTTTTGCCTGGATTATTAAAATAACCTCACATCTGTCCTTTTCTTGCCATTTTATCCTTTATTCATTAGCCAGAATGAGCCTTCTAAGACTGTAGTCAAAAGTCATACAGCTCCTTTACTCAAACCCTCCATGAACTTCTGACCTCATTCAGTGTAAATTCCCAAGGTCCTTACCATGACCTTCAATGCCCTTTATCATCTGGTCTATTAATGCCACCTGACCTCTTTTTCTACCACCGCCCTCAGGTCACTCTGCTTCAGACATAGGGGCATCACTGATGTTTCAGAAGCACTGCAGAACCCTTGCACTAACTGCTTCCAGTGCTAAGAATGAGCTTACTTTGTATAAGCATGGCTTAATTCCTTACTTTCTTTGGTTTCTGTCCACATGCCACTTTCTCAGTGAGGCCTTCGCTGACTTCCCTGCATGAGCTAGAATCCACTCTGCACCTGGCAGTCTGGACATTCTTACCTTGGCTTATCCTCTATTATCCTAGAGATGTCTGTCTTCATCCCCAACACCTAGAACAGTGACGGACACATGATAGCTACCTCATGATTATATTTGAATGAATAAATCTTTAATTATCCATAATTGGGTAGTAGACCCAATCTTGCACAGGCAGCCAAGAAACAAAACCAAGAAAAAAAAACTTAGTTTCTATGTAGACCTGCCACTAACTAGACATACTTCCTTTTGCAGGTGTTTAACATCTCTGAGTCTCAAATGTCTCAAGTATTAAAATACAATAGATTGAACTAGACAATTTCAAAAGTTCTGCTTGCTCTAATAAAATACTTTACACGAAGTAAACACAATTCCACTGATGTTTGTTCAATATTTTCTATGGCAAGGCCATTCCTCATTATATATAACTCAAGTAGATAAGTAGCAGTTGTTATTTGTCATATGTATGTATGTACGTACACACACATGCACACACAATTCACCCTCTCCCACAATATCACTGTGTTACACAATCCTCAGTCCTATTACCTCTGAGACCCATTGTAAATAAAATGTAAAATCTTTAGAGCATGTTGGACAAATACATGGTTTTGGTTCTGCCTCTTTCCAGTCGCAGACATCACTGTGAGATTATAGAACTCTTTCCATCTAGGCCAAGACTGGGTCTAAGAATTCTTCTCAGACTTCTAGGAAAGATATCAAACTTATTAGAGTTGAAACTAGAGATGTAACATAGATTTTATTCCAGGTTTTGGGTATCTGAGAGCCTAGAAGTGGTGTGAGATAAAGAATTTGATACACCTTCTCCAGTCTTTTTGCTTGGTTTTCCTTCAATTCATCCTTCCAAACTCATTGTAGATACCACTTCTCCTAGGATTTTTCCCCAAATCCAAGACTGTGTTATGTGGCCCTTGTTATCTGATTACCTAGGGCCCTGGTCTCAATTACAGAATTATTATGTTGTAATTTCTTTTTAATTTTAACTTGACTGCATCATCTACCTGACTGTGTTCTCTAGAGGTTCAGACCAAGAATTGCGTTTTGAAGACTGAGAGCTGGGCCTGACACTTACTAGGGACACAATAAATGTTGACTTATTGAACAGATAAATGAATGAATGAATGATGCCCAGGATAGAATATTTGGTACTGCTGTCCTGTCTAGCACATTTCTCCAAGGTAAAATTATCTCCCACATATGACAAAAATCTACCTTTCTCTTGGTTAAATCCCTTAGTAAGCTGCCTATCAGAGAATTTGAGGGTTAACTCATTCTTTTAGAATAATGTAAATAACTTGGATGGGAGCAGGCTGTATGCTTTAGGTCAATTAGACCACCTTCTCATGCCTGAGGGAAATTGTCCCTTAAGGTCTGTTCTATGGCACCTAGTCCCCTAAGATTTGACAAGAAAGCGTTCCACAGTTCAATATATTTGGAAAACATTGCTCGCTGGCCTTTCCCCTTGAAATCTGGCCATGGACATTAGCTTATTAGAGATTCTGAGTCATCTAGTAAAGAATTCTGTTTAATTTTTTTATAGCTAGAATTTTTCATTTCTTTTGAACTTAAGGATAATATTCAACATTATATATATTAACATTCTACTGGACTAATGCTTTAGGAAACAGAGTTTTACACACATAGAGGCCATTTAATAGCTTTAAATAACAGTGTAGCAGCCATATGGCAGTGAGCAGATTGGATTTGGAAAGGGGTAAAACCAGTAGGGAGGATGTTGCAGAAATCTAGATGGAAGAGGATGAGGCCTATAACCAAAGTCCTCATAGCGGCCACGGAGAAATGAAAACGTTTATGCAAGAAACTGATCTCGTTACTGAAAAGTCTTTTGCAAGAGTAACTAAGGTGGTTAGAGAACAGGAGGTTGGTACTGTAGTGCTTTCCCTCTTCTGCCTTTCAAAGGTAAGAGCTTGACTTCGTTTTTAAGCCAGCAGGGGTTCTTACATAGCTGAGTGTCTATCACTACTTAATGCATGTATAATGCCCTGCTGTACTGATATTCATGATAAAAATCAAGGTATTTACAGTCAATTATAATTTCTTATTCTCAAAGCATACATTGATTTTCTTAAACTAGGCTTTTCTGAACTGGGTATGATAATACACATTATTATCATACCATTATTAGGCCTCTCTTTCCAGGTCTTTCAGTGAAATCTGTGTGTGTGTATGTATGCATTTCCTAAGGCTGTTGGTGCAAAGAAACACAAACTGGGTGGCTTAAAAACAACAGAAACCAAAATCAAGGTGTTGGCAGGGCCATGCTCCCTGTGGGGTTCTGGCAGATCCTTCCTTGCCTCTCCCTGTTTTCTGGCCATGTCTGTCAATCCTTGGTGTTTGCTGGCTTGTAGCTGCAATGCTTCAGTCTCCACCTCTGTCATTCGATGGTGTCTCCCTGTATGTCTCTGTCTCTCTCTGTGTACACATTTTCATCTTTTTGTAAGTACACCAGCCAAATTGGATTAAGGGTCTAACCTACTCCATTATGAATTCATCTTAACTAATTACATCTGCCACAAATTTATTTCCAAATAAGGTCACATTCTGAGGCACCGGGGGTTAGGACTTTAACACACCTCCTTTGGGGGCCCAATTCAACCAATAACTACATCTGTGTGTGTGTGGTGTGCACGTATGTGTATGTGTTTGTAAGTGCACACGTAAGATGCACCAACATAGATGCAAAGACGTTTGTCTTCCCAAATTTACTAGTAGTATTTCTGGCTCTACTCCCATGAAATTACCTTTACCCTTTCTCTTTGAAGGATGGACAAAGCCAGGTCTGATAAAGCGTTAGAATTTGTCATGGCTGGTCTTCACGCGGCAAACCAATTATGTGACCACCCAGGCCTTTTCATCATGCTTGGTACATTCATGGAATGTTATCTCACACTGGGGTTGGTAATGCAATACTAATTCTAAAAGGCTATTCTGATTAATGTATTCATCTTGGTTTAGCATTTTTTATATTGTTTATTTCAGCTCTCCTTTCCCTTTTGTGATCTAAATATATTTTCTTTCAGGTTATTTTGCTAAGTGGTTCCGAGCTAATTTTATTACTTTTTTGATGGTAAGGGTCTAGGCAGAGTAGCCTTTCTGAAAGGCAAGCTTTACCGACTTCTCCAGGTTCATAAATATTAATAATGTGTAACTACGACTCTGTGTGCTAAAACATTGTTGTGGAGATTGTACAAGGAAGGCATTTTATGATTTCATGGAGACATGGAGTAGCAAGAAAATGGAGCAATGACATTTGGGGGGAGCATGACATCTAAATGTTAATATTGTGTACTGCTTACTGAGAATGAGAATTTCTCTTCTTTTGATGCTCGTGTTGTCAGTTGCACGAGAGTGTTCTTCAATTTGTACTTTACTTCTTCTAGCTATTTTTTTTCTTTATAAAACTGCTAGAAAAGAAGCCAGCTAGTATTTTGAATAAAAGAGTTGGGATTGTATAAGGCAATGTTTTTACTCAGCTTTCCTCGACCTTTTGATGAAAATTCCAGTTCAAAATAAAAAGACACAGGCACTACCCTCTGAGAGAGTCTGTGTGACCAGGCTATCATTCTTAAGAAACGGATTGAAACTTCTTAGTACATCTCATAAAAAATTTAGTTAGCTATAAATGTTTTAGGCTGTTGCAGCTGATATCATTTGCCTTGTGGGAAAAAAAAATGAGGCTGTTTTATGTTAAGTGTTTTGTTTTCTCTTCTCTCTATTCTTTTTTTATATGTATTAGGCAATGCAAAGACTTTTACTACCATTGTTATGATAGTATTTAAATAAGCAGACCAAACCCATGCATGGGACTGAAGAGTAAAGTCAAGAAATATTTGAGATGCCTCTTTTAAATTAAAGGTATATTCTTCATTGCTAATTTTGAGTTCAATTTTTTACTGTATATTAAAATGTTAATTTCAATTTCATCTATAGCAGATGGTATCCTGCTTTTATTTTCTAAAGGGATTCTTCAAGTAAGCCCTCAGTTGTCTTGCATTATGAGTAATTAGAGAAATACCTTGGTTGGTCCTCAGGGCAGAGCTAAAAATAGAGTTCAGTGATTTTTTTCTGTAATTCTTACTATTTTTAAATAGAAGAAAATGATAGGCAAGAAAGAAAAGGCCATACTTAACCAAAATGTCCATGACTTCTTTCATTACTAACAAAAAATTGCCAAGCTTGACAGTTTGCAAATAACTCTCCCTTCTCCATGAAGGTAACTTGGAATTCGATGTGTGTGTATGTACCTGTGTGAGTGCATGTGTGTGTGTGTGAGAGAGAGAGAGAGAGAGAGGGACCACAAAGTCTCTGATGTTAACAAATACAAGAGGAAGAGCAGTAGATGAGGGCAGAGGTGTGGTAAGCAATTGATCTGGCAAAATCTTGAAAGTTAAGACAAGAACTCTGGGTGTTACTCTGAGATGGGAAGTGTTTCGACTCAGCAATCCCATAATGGGTATATATTCAAAAGAAAACAAATCGTTTTACCAAAAAGATACATGCACTTGCATGTTCATCACAGCACTATTCACAGTAGCAAAGACATGGAAATCAGCCTAGGGCCCACCAACAGTAGACTGGATAAAGAAAATGTGGTACATATGCACCATGGAATACTACATAGCCATACAAAGAATGAAATAATGCCCTTTGCAGCAACATGGATGTAGCTGGAGGCCATTATTCTAAGCAAATTAACACAAGAACAGAAAACCAAATATCGCATGTTCTCACTTACAAGTGGGAGCCAAACACTGGCTATTCATGGACATATAGATGGCAACAAGAGACTCTGGGGACCCTTAGGGGCAGGAGGGAACAGGGGGAGGGTTGAAAACCTACCTATGAAGTATATGTTCAGTACCTTGGTGCCAGGATCATTTGTACCCCAAAGCTCAGTATAGTGCAATATACCCAGGTACCAAATCTGCACATGTACCCCCTGAATCTAAAATAAAAGTTGAAAGTAAATAAATAGATAAATAAATGCATTAACTTTTTTCATGAAAACTAACAACAAAAAACCTGAGAAGACAGGCCGCAAAAAAAGAAATATGGAATACATTTAACCTACAAAGAAACAATATCCAGAATACATAAGGAACATCTAAAAGTCAATCGTAGTAAATAACATAAAAGCAAACTGAAAAATACTTCAAACGACATTATTCAGAAAATGTATCCTAATGGCCGATAAACATTAAAAGGTGCTGAACATTCTTAATCATGAAAATGAAAAATAGACCATACTGAGATGATCATTTATCATCCAGTATTAACAAAAATCTAGAAATTATGACAATAAGTTTTGGGTAGGATGAGAAGCAATACTGCTTTGGGGTATACAATTGCTTTGGAAATAATTTGGCATTAGCTGTAAAGTTTGAAGATAGACCTATTTACAGGTTAGTAGTACCAATCCTATATATGCTGTCTAGAAACTTCTGTACATGTTTACCAGGAAGCACATATAAGAATATTCCTAGAATTACTGAAATGGCAAAAAACTGAAAAAAACTGCAACTATCCACCAAAAGTAGGATATATAGATAAATCAATAGACTGATAGATTGGCAGATAGATAGGAGTGCTATACAGCTGTTAAAAATAACTGTAATGCAGTGTTACTCATCAATCTGGATGAATTTCAAAACCAAAATGCTAAGAGGAAAGTGCAAGAAGCAGAAAAGACCATAGAAATTATTCCATTTCTGTAAGGTCAAAACAAGCAAAATTCAGCAACATAGTGTTTTGAAATGCATTCATATATGGTAGAACTATAGAGAATTTTAGGAGAATGATTAAAAGAGATTCAGAATAATGGTCACCTGTGGAGGGAAGGAGGGGGCTATGATTGGAGAAGGTCATGCTATCTACAAATGTGTTGTTCCATTTCTCAGTCTGATAGTAGAAAGATATTTGAACATATTATTGTTCTTCAAATTGTATATACATTTTAATATTTTATAAATATATTCTGCATTAAAATAAAAAGAAAATAGGAATGATATGGAACCAGCAACGACAGACAACTTTTTTAAGAATTTTTTTTTTTTTTTTTTTTTTTTTTAACGAAAGCTATTGTCTTCTATGGAAAATGTTGTTTGACCTATTAGCACTTGATTAGGTTCCCCTCCTTTTCCTGAAACACTATAACTTTTCCCTATCATGTCTTGTACTAAATTTATGCTAGCTGCAATGCTAGATAACACTCCTCCAGACAGGTCTTAGTAGATTAATAATAAATGTTTATTTCTTGCTCAAGTAAGAGGAAAAATGAGATTACCTATAAGTAGCAGCTCATTTTCAAAAGGTAATTCAGGTACCTTGTATCTTTAAATCTGGTGGCTCTGCTATTTTCAACATGTGGCTTCTAAGGTCTCTGTGAGAGGAGAAAGAATGGGGGCTTGCACATGTGGGACATTTTCATGAGCAAGGCCTGCATTTTCCTCCATATGCTGTTGACAGAACTCAATGGCATAGGCCCGCTAACTGGTAATGAGCTGGCAAGTGTTGCCTAGCTGTGTGTGCAAAAGAAAAAGAGACAGATTTTTTTTTCAATAGCTAGCCATTTTATCCATCTACTTTCCAAATATCCACTTAAATCTTTCTTCTTTGCTTAGGACCCATTTACCAAGGGTGACAGTCCAGTCCCATCACCGTTTTGAGCTCAAATAACAATATCTCCAGGCAGTATGCAGTCTTCTCCATCCATTGTAAATGTGCCTTCTTGCGGTCTTGCAATCTCTGAATTAAAAAGACAAGTTGTCTCCCTTTCACATCTTCCCCTCTCTCCAGAGTGGGAGACACATAACATTCACTGGTACATGGAAAGAATAATATTCTGCAGGAGGGTGGAAGGGGTCTTTTCCTAGCAGTTCTCCTTGGCTCTTATCACTGTAGGCTAGTGCATAGCCCCATGCCTATTGTATGACTGCACTGTGTCAGAGTTCAATGAGTTCAAGTTTGTACTATTCCCTGTTCATGATAAGAACTATATAATAGTTAATTGCTGATAGTATTATTATATTACAACAAGCTCAAGTACCAAGTGTCTTTGACTTTGGCTGAAATTATGTGCACACTAAGACTAGTTACCATGGTCATCATAAGCTATAAATGGTAATTTTTTCTATATATTGTTTAATATGTGTGTGTGTGTGGGTGTGTGTGTGTGGGTGTGTGTGTGCACATGCACACATCCAGGAAAAATTATTACTTGACACCTACTTTTTCTTGTAAACAACAATTTATAGTAAATATGGAAGGAAATTTAAAGGGTCTGTGGCTTGAACATGTTGGAAAGTCTTGCTTTAAAGCTCCAGCAGATCCTTTCTGTACTAAGGCACAAAAGCTATGATTTTTCATCTGCCCAGAATAATAAAATTATTTACAAAAGCACTGAGAATTATTCTTTATATGATTTCCAACCTTCAAGCTTCTGTAGAAACATTGTAGCTTTGTAAAATGTGGTGCCTTACCTTGGAAAAAAAAGCTTTGTTTTGAAGCCGAGGAATAGTAAAGAAAACTGCTATGTCCCTAGCATTAAAATCTTATATCCTCACAATGTGAACATGCAAATTAACTAGAAGAAACTACATTTTAAAAATTGAAAGATTTTTTTCTGAGATGCCTTTGCATTTTGGTTATCTCTTATTGGTCAACCCCAGGTCAGAGTTAACACACCTGGCTCTAGAGTAATACACATGTACAGGTGTTGTTAAAGGCTGCATGATGGTATTCTGAGCCTCTGCTCTGAGCTCTGTCCTAGATATAAAGAATGTGCAGCCAGCTGTTTGTCTACTTGTCCTGACCCTGTTCAAGGATTAATGAAGAGATCCTCTATCTGTAGTCCAATGTCTATTGGGTAGGGACCAGAAATGATTGAACGTCTTTGCTTCATGATACGCTGTGCCAGTATACATGAAAATGGGAACCTAAAAGTACTTTCATAAGCACTTTGTGGAACTTATTTCTTCCTTTAAAATGTCCTAGACACCTTATTGTCACCTCTTGGCTCCCTCTGGTTTCTGTATTTTCACTGGTACATTGGATCACCATGGCAGAGCCCTACCCTGCACCCAACCCAATAGCAGGAAGGTTTACCTTCAGCTTGTTCCCTGTATGCTCAGTTTCCGGTGGATTTATTACTGTTTTTGGTTGTCCCCAGAGGCTGGCTTATCATGAAGTTAAGGATCTTGATGCCTCAGGGCTTTTCACTTACATAGAACCTTCCAAGCCCATGGGTCTTGAATCTTTGCTAAATCGGTCCTTGCTCTGTATGGTACTGCTTTAACTGAAACACACACAGGAAGCTGTGTCCTTACTTTGCACAGATGTATTATTCAACACTGTGAATACTGTAGTAATAATTTTTGGTATTTTCCTTGTAAAACAAAGAGAAAAGAAAACAAAATACAGAATTGTGCTGCTTTTATTCACTGAGTAGTGTTTCAAATCAAGCTAGCTTTCTGGCAGTGTGACATCATGGCTTAGCAAAGAGTCCTTAGAATTTTCTAACTTTTAACAAAATGGGGACCTTAAACAATCTATTCTCTGAAAAATAATGTTGAGGTTTCACAGTAGGAATGAAAAGGGTGGGACGATTATGATATAACTAACTCAATTTTTAATGAATAATGAATTGCAGAGTTAATGCTTGTCAGAATTTTCCAGGAATTAGGGAGAAAATGAGGAAGAAAATTTTACAAGTAGAGTTAAGAGGAAGAGGTAGATGAATGCACGATCCTGCTTTTATTTTATGACTATTAGGATAGAGATGTTTGAAACCTGCTGAGTAGCTGGTGGAAGGGGAAGGCTTCAAGGATAAATAGTAGATGGCCATGCTTGTCCCCCGACACAGGGAACGGCCTGCGCAAACACACTTGGTTTGAGGATATCTGATGAGTTCAAAGTGCTTTAACTACTAAGCAGGTGGAATGGCAGGATATAGGAGTCGTGGCGGCCACTGTAAAACTCGGTGGTTCAGATGTGGGTGACATGATTTGCAAATATAATTACAAAGTGATACGAACTGTTAAATTGGACAAGTTTAGATTTAGGTGACAGTAGGACTTAGAAGAGACATCTCTATATTTCCTATGCTAAGCTGGAGGTAATAGGAGAACAAACTACTTTATCCACCCCTGAAAATGAGACTGTTTTACTGATGGAAACATCATCGTCTTGACCATGAGAAAAATCCAAGCTAGAATCCTGGCCCTGTGGTTTACTAGCCAAGATTCTTTGAGGGGCATTAATATTTCTTTATGTATACATTGAGACTCTGTGATGATACCTACCGCTTATGCTTGCTGTGAGCATGAATGAGCCAAGATGTACTGAAGAGCCATGTTAAATACCTGTAGATAGTTAATAAATAGTATCTTTATTGTTATCAAGTAAATGGAAAGAATTCAAAAGAAGGGAGAAAGAGAGAGGAATAGTAAAATGTCATGAGAGCTGGAGGTTATTTGAAAAATACATGTTAATCAATTGACGTTATCAATCAAGTAATCACGAGATTACCACAGATACCCAGCTTGGGGACAGGACCACAGAAGAATAATTTGTGCTGCCTCTCTTGACGATAACTACTTTGGTTGAAATTCTGTATCCCTCTTACTTTGACAAATCAGAATCAAGCGTGGTTGAATCTTAAAGACTTTTTTTTTTTCTGAACTAACTCTTACTAGTTGGCACAATAGTTAAATGTGTAGGAGGAAAAGAGGATGACGGAGAATGCATATTTTGGTTTGGAGAGAACAAAAACTGCCCTAGGATAATGTTTGAATACATGGCCACCAACAAGCCCAAGCTTTTGTGGAAAAACACTAAAATGGCTAAAGCCTCTCAGCATAACTGCTTTGCTAATTTAAGTGTTTGCTTTGAGAGTATGTGAACAACCGAATTTTCTTAGTTAAATTTATTAAAAATGACTGTACAGGATGGAATTGGCCAATCAGACAAAAACAGTTCAAAATTAGACGACGTTTTTCATCACTTCACACTTTTGCAGTGTTTGCTACAATCAAGACACTGTGCTTAGATGCTGAACGTGATGCAAAGGAGTTAAAGATGTAGTCCTTACCATTGATTTATTGGAAGCAATAGCATATTACAAATACTTTATCTTGCTCTACAGGTAGGCCCGATACAAGAAGTGTTGGCTATGAGTAATAATTTGGAGGTTCTTCAAAAAACTAAAAATAGAGCTACCGTATGATCCAGCAATCTCACTGCTGGGTATAACCCAAAAGAAAATAAATCAGTATATCAAAGAGGTATCTACGCTCTCATGCGTGTTGCAGCACTGTTGACAGTAGCTAAGATTTGGGATCAACCTAAGTGTCCATCAGCAGTTGAATGGATAAAGAAAATGTGGTGCTTATATACAATTGAGTACTCTTTAGCCATAACACAGAAGGAGGTCTTGTTATTTGCAACAACATGGATGGAACTGGAGGCCATTATTTTAAGTGAAATAAACCAGGCACAGAAAGACAAATGTCACATGTTCTTACTTATTTGTGGAATCTTAAAATCAAAACAATTGAACTAATGGACCTAGAGAGTAGAAGGATGGTTACCAGAGGCTGGGAAGGGTAGTGGGGGCTGGTGGTTGGGGAGGTAGGGGTGGTTAATAGGTACAAAAAGGTAGTTAGAAAGAATGCATAAGACCTACTATTTGATAGCACAGCAGGGAGACTATAGTCAATAATAATTTAATTGTACATTTTAAAATAACCTGAAGAGTGCAGTTGGATTCTTTGTAACCCACAGGATAAATGCTTGAGGGGATGGATACCCCATTCTCCATGATGTGATTATTTCACATTGCATGCCTGTATCAAAGCATCCCATGTACCCCGTGAATATATACACCTACTGTGTATCCACAAAAAAAGTGTTGGAAGAGTGTTGTGGGATTTCACACAAGGCACTGCCTGGGTTTGTGTCACTGCTCTGCTCTCCTATACCACTCTTGTCACATAAGCAAGAGACACACAGTCTCATATGGAGTGACAAATTCGGAAATGGAAATTCTTTTACAGTTAATTAATTCAATTCAGAGTGTCTCCTCATCATCATCCAGCATTTCCTGAGGGTACCTGTTTTGTGTAATGTGGTAAGCATAGTCTCTTCTCTTATATTCTTCCAATTAATTACTTTTTCTAGAGTTTAGGCCCTTCTGCCGGAGGGAGATGCCTGTGTGGTCACAAGAATATTTTTCTCCCTGCCTCCACTTTGTTTTGGTGACCTTGGCCATGTTAGTTGGCTTTATTAGGCTTCCACTTCACAATCTGTCAACTCGATTAACACAGGCCTCCCTGGAATACCTGGCTGTTTTGTTTAAGATGAATCTAGGAATATGACTTGTTTCAAATCCACATGTCATCTTGAAATGAGCTTGTCTGGGTCTTTAGGGTTGAAATATATCCCAGGCTTCTTGGCTGCTGATGTATATTTACTATTTTAACTTCAGTTATCTTTTTAGTCTGAAGGCTGAATGACTTCTTACAGTGATCAACACAAAGATTATCCAGTAGTCTTTGGTTGAATTTATTGTCTTGACTTCAATACTATCTATCAGCAATACTTTGCAAGGTCAACTTTTAACCATTTTTGTTGTTCTTTGCCAAACATTGCATAAAATAAAATATAACCTTTCTTCTACCATATTGTAATACTGTTGTAAAAAATTAAATGATTTCCTACTATTCCAGTTTATTCTCTGTCAACATTCTTTTCATACTAAAAAGGTTGGTTTTAGCTTATAGATGAAATGTTTTTCTCCAAACTTATTTATGATAATAACAACAAATACTTTTATAGTGCTTAGTATATTCCAGGCACTATTATAAACATTCTAAACACCTTCTGCCATTAACTCATTGAGTCCTCACAATAATCTTATGGGTACTGCTAATTGTGCCCATTTCACAGATGAGAAGATTGAGGGCAAAGAAGTTAAGTATTTTGCTTATGGTCACAAGTGATTGGGCCAATGTTTGAACCAATCACTTGTCTGAAATTTTGCCTTTAACTATTTCACATTTTGCCTCACTGTTAGATTTTAGTTCTTTGTTCTGAATTTGGAATGCGTATAACCATACAAGCAAACACAAATTTTTATTTTTTAACTTGTAATATTATGGCTGACCTAGAGCAGTGACATTTTTAGTCCAAGACCTAGATACAGACAACAGGAGATCATGTGTAAAGAAAATAGAATAAAGGTCCTTTTTTCTTATGCAGGGCCAGCCCAAGATAAAATTTTGTAATAGGTTGAAGTATATCTTTGGCATCTTTTCACCTTTCTCTCCCTCTCTCAATTTTTGGCACTCCTCCTTTCACTTTCATCTATTTTTTGCTCCACTTTGATTAGCAGTAGCCTGTCTAATCCCTGAGAGTAACCCATACATCAGACAGAAACTCCAAGTACAGTGATACGGGAATCAATGTACCCTACCTCTGACCCTCAAATTTCTCCTCTCAGATTCTAGCCTGAGAAAATATACTGAAATGCAAAGGTTTTTGCATAAAGATGTTAATCACAGCGACTTTCTTTTCAGTAATAAAAATTTGAAAACTGCCTAAATGTACAACATTGGAAGAATGGTTAAGTAAATTGTGCATTATACAATACAATGCAGCATTATGCAGCCATTAAAAACTATGTTTATGAAAACTTCTCCATGACAGAGGATAGTACATAAGTTTAAATGCTAAGAAAATTCAAGTTGAAAGTAGTATAATATCAACTCTAGAAAAATACATATAAAACAAGGAAAGAAAAAGCTCCAAATATTAAATGTATACAGATTGGATATAAAGTGATTATTTATAGTTTATTCCGTTTTCTAATGTATTAGTTTTACAATCTAGAAAAAATAAATGATCAGTTTTTATAAAAACCTTCATTCACAATAAATTGCAATTTTTTCTTAATCCTCCTAGATATATTGTCATTTTCAAAAATGATACTTGCCAATCCCAGTGTCTTTAATTAGTAGGATTCTAAGCAGCACAAGAAAATATAGAAAAAGATTGAAGAAGTGTAGAGGGAATATATTCAAAGTATGTAGTATGTAAGCTGAAATAGAGCAACCGCAATTGAATTCTCAGATCACTAAACTTTTCTTGCTTTACACAAATTTTATCTTTCTTAATTCAATTTTTTCTTTTTCTTTTGTGCTTTCTATTTAAAAGTTAATGTTTTGTTTTGCATTATATTTTTTTTCCTCTCTGTGTTGGAAGCAAAGACAGTAATGGGAAAAGGGGACAAGAAACGGGGCAAGGATACACTGAAGGTGATATATATGATATATATATATATATATATCTTCATAGATGGTGGAATTATAAATGGATTACATATATCAGATAGAATTAAGTGTTTGCAAATTAAGGCTTGTTTATACTCTTTTGCAAGCAATATTTTAAAATCTGTTTGTTTATTTTTTTTATTTTTGGAAGCCAAGCCAGCAGTTGTTTAAAATTCATGCCTCTGCATAATATATGAAGACTACATAGATGAGTTTTCTGGAGATTTCTCCTTGACACATTTAGTTTCTCCACGTTGCTTGTAGAAAGGATGATTCCATTCTCTCAATACCACCTTCCACCAGGAGAAGCCATTTTCTTTCCTGAAGGTCAACCTACAGCCACAGTAGAAGAGGAAACCAGTTACTGTGATTCCAAATATAATTTCCCAGGAGGTGAAATTCCCTCTCCTAAACATGAATTGGTTACAGGAAAAGAAAAAAGAATGTAATTCGTAAGACTGTGGAGCCATTTTCCTAATCCAATTTCTCCTGTCCCCTAGATCGATATCATGTGAATTGCTTCCACAGGGGACTGTGCTAGCAGAGAGGGGTCTGTGGAAAGAAAGAAGCACCGTGCTCCAATGGACCATTATTATTGTTTCCATATCACAGGGTCCACATATGCATGTAAATGTTTTTATAGTACACATACACAAATGCAAAACTGAATGTCTAACTAATGTCAAGCACGGTCACATACACCCACACTCTCTAATTTCCTGTCCAAGGTGGTGATCTGTAAAAGAGAGGTGAACTGTAAGAGCTGAATGATTAGAAAATAAATTCTAAAACTCAAGTGCACTTAACAGTGGACGTAATCAGTAGAGAGAACTAAGACCTTTAGGATTCTGATGCATCTGTCACCTGTAAGTAAACTGACAGTTCTGTTTTTTTAATTATTATTAAGCATGAGTTGCTATATAAATCACATCTCATTACAACAAGCCACAAGTGACTATCTACATTTTTATGCAAAATGAATGCTATCCTACTAAATGAGCATTGCCTAATATTGGGAGTCTTTTCTTGGTCATGCAGTGATATTTGCTGATAGGGGATTTGACCTGTCATAGCTTTCTTCTAGTTTTGTAGACATTTCTTGTTCTCTACCTCCCTGGTTCCCAGCGTGCTTATATAATTTGACAATATCTTTTGGAGCAATTTGAAAATATGAATCTCAGGTCATTGGAATTTGTGTATTCTAATAAAAACTGGCATAATAATTCAGAAGTGGAATTCATTGAAGAATTATGGGCTCCCAAATGCTAGTCAAATTATTTTTTATAGAGGTGGAAAGAAAGGGTCATTCTGTTTTTATTTCAATCCCCAAAGTATAGATTAAGGCAGCAGTATTCTAGGTCTTACACAATCATAGGAGGTGGGTAACATTGCAGGAGAGGAGGAAATAATATTCGTTGACTGTTTACTATTGGCAAGACATCTTACCAACAGTTTAATACTCTTTGCAACTCTGAGCCAGTTGGCTCTCTCTGTATATCACTTTTGGAAAAGCTGAAATTTGTAAATTAGTCCCAAACTCTAGGTCAGAGGGTAGGGGAGTGAAGGAAGGTTTCATTAAATAAATGGCCCTTGGGCTAGTAATTAAAGATGACTATGAGTTACCTGAGTAACAAGGGGAGGGAACAGTGTTCTTAGTAGAGGGAACAACATTTGCAAAGAATCTTCAGTGGGATGGAGCTTAAAAATAAGGCAAACATGGCTGAAGGACAGAGAGTGTGGGAGAGTACTATATAAGCTAAGAGGGAGGATATAGGCAGGAGCTAGATCAGGCAGTGCTTTGATGGCCATTTTAAGGAATTTTAAGCAATGGGAAGCTTGAATCAAAGACTGTAACATGAGCAGATGTGCTTTTTCAATACATTATTATAGTTGTGGTGTGGAGAACTGACTGTGTGGACACAGACAGACTTTCACTTCAATCATCTGGATGAAACAGTGGTAGCTTAGATGGATGTTTGTGGTAGAGATGGAGAGAGATAGAGAGTTTGGGGACGATGGGCAGAATTAATAGAATTCATTGATATGAAGATGTGAGGAGGTGAGGAAGAGAAAGATGTTTAAGGTGACATAGAACTCTGCATCATATAATAAAATGGATGGGGGTGCCGTTTATGGAGATACGGAATGCTCAAAGACCTGAGTTTTATGAATTTGATCATTTTTCTAAATAAGTGCTTGATTAGGAGCATGGATCACCTATTTGGTTTTGAACATGTATTTGCCATTCCTGTGACTCATGTAAAAGAAATGTGAAAAGGCAGTTGGATCTGGACTCTAGAAGAGAAATCTAGATTCACAAACTCGGGAATGAGCATTGATGAGAGGTGGAGAACTACAACAGTTATTAGCCACATCCAGGAGAATGAGCCTACAAGGAGAAACAGAATAATCCAATAGTTAGGAGGAAATCAGGAAGATGACTGTTTTGTGGAAGGCAAGGTAATTGATGTTTCAAAACAATTTTGTTGGTTTTTGATAATGTGGAAGTTATGGGCAAGAGAATGCTTGGGATGCTCAAAGACCAGCAAGAAGAACAGAGTGACTGGAGCTAAGTGGGCAAGATGATTAGATTTAAAGGTTGATTTTAGGTGTGATGAGAATGCATTAAGAGGTTTTGAGTGAAGAGGGGATATGACCTGCTTTACATTGTCACTGGACTACAGTGATAGACAGTGAAGGAAGCAGGGATGGAAGGGCTTGGGGGGAGACCAATTAGGAGACTGTGCATTCAACATTCAGCTAGTATTTATTTAACATCCAGTATATGCCAGATATCTGTAATCTAGGCTTGTCATTTGGACTTGGACAAGGAAGAAGTAATCAAATTTGAGATATATTTTGAAGTCACAGCCGTTGGGATTTGCCAATGGATTGAAAATCGGGATGTGAGGAGGAGATGAATCAAGGATAATTTCATGGTTTTTTGGCTTGGGCAATAGAGAGAATTGCAGTGGGGCTGAGACTGGTAGCCATAGACAAGGAACAGAGGTGAATAGGGAGAGGAGCACGAGTTCAGTTCTGGATTTGATAAGGAAATGGTAATTTTTGTTTATAAGATTCTTATGAGGATAAATGAAGTAATGTCTGTAAAGGACTTTATAAAGAGCATAAACACTTATCATAAGATTATTGTTGTTACTATTATTAGAGTGGGCCATAGTGAAAACCAGTATTCTGATTTGTTGGGCCACCTACTGTGTTTTATTCTTGGCTTTGTCACTAACTTGCTGTGTCACTTTGAGCAATTTATTGGTTCTTTCTCAATCTCAATCTCTTCCTCTCTGAAAGTTTCCAAAGTGAACATTAGAGATGGAATTGACTAGAAGATCAGGAAGATCCCAATCAGCTGTAACACCCCTATGATATAAGGCTGATTAGTATTATCTCAGTATTATTTTTTACATTATTGATATTGATATTTTACTTTTATACAGAAGCCACCTTCCAAAGTAGATTTATCATATTCTAATGAGCATTGTGAATGATCTCATTTCAGAGATAAAAATGTTGAAGGGCTTTAATTATATTTAAAGAAAAACAGCAAAAATGAACTCTTATGATGAAAATCAGTCATCAAAAAAAAAACCTGAGAGATGAGAAACTACAACAATTATCCACCCTCCCAACATGTATGCAGCTATTTTGAAAGAAAACATTTGGTACCTGTTGTTAGATTTTGGAAGGTTACACACAAACTTGGAAAACTGTCTAAAGAAAAGCCAAGGGATTTTTGAGTTTTAATTACTTCTTTTAAAAAGTAAACAGTAGTCAATTAAGGAGCCATAACTTGTCTTCTATTATTAAATTAATGGAATCATGCAGTAAAATATCAGTGGAGACTGCGGCATTCACCTGGACAGACACTGCTGTTTTAATTATCTATAGAGTCAAATCTATCCAAACAATCACTCTCATAATGTAAGAGAAGGAAAGAAAAACTAAAAACTAGTCCATCTCTAATTTTTCTCATATATCAGGGTTTTTTTAAGTTTACTTGCTCTTCTTGCCTCCCTGACTCAATTTCATCCCTAGATTATTGCAGCAATATCAGCAACTATTAGTTATTATTTTAGTTCATAACTATTTGTTATTCTTTGGATCTAAGTTACTAGTATCTAGAGTGGTTCTGAATGACCAGGTATGAGCAGTGTGGAGGATTGGAAAGCACATATTCTGAAGAGGTGTTGAACTGAAACACATCCTTCTAGGTACTTAGCTGTTTTGTTTCTAACAACTTAAAGATGTTAAAGTATGTTGTTCACATCTGCCTCAATATAAGTGGCAGAAGCAACATTCCTGGTATGAAAATATGCACCCAGAGAACTTAAAATTTCCTTGATCAATGTTAACCTGCTGTTGCAGCCAATGACATATCTTTTACCTAGAGCTAGAAGGTACTAAGGATGAAATCTTGTGGGATTCCCATGTAATATAGTCTGAATGTGTGTCTCTGCCCAAATCTCATGTTGAATTCTAATTCCCAATGTTGGAGGTGGGGCCTTGTGGCAGGTAACTAAATTATAGGGATGAGTTTCTCATGAAGAGTTTAGTACTATCCCCTTGGTACTGTCCTCATGATAGCGAGTGAGTTCTCCTGAGATCTAGTCTTTAAAAGCGTGTGATGCTTCGCCCCTCTCTCTCACTCTTGCTTTGGCCGTGTGACGTGGCTACACCCTCTTTGCCTTCCACCATGATTGTAAGTTTCCTGAGGCCTCCCCAGAAGCTGAGCAGATGCCAGCATCATGCTTCCTCTACAGCCTGCAGAACCATGAGTCAATTAAATCCCCTTCCTTCAAAAATTAACCATTCTCGGGTATTTCTTTATAGCAACGCAACAATGAATGAATACACCATGGGATGCTGCTGATGTTTGGATATCCTCTCACTTCTAATCCCTGGAAAGAAAACCTTGCATTCCAGAGCATTCCATCTAAGCAGCTGGAACCACTCCTTAGGTAGGATCTCAGTGGCCCCTGTAACAAGTACTATGATTATAGTGGACAAGTACAACTGCTCCTATCTATTCAAATGGAAGAATGAAGGGACAATGTTATAGTTACAAAAAGTGCAAAATTTTATTGCAAAACTTCCTAGTAATGATTCTAATTATCTTTATTGAATGTCTGCCATTTTCTAGGCACTGGAGTGGGGGTTGATTTGGTTTCCCTTATCTACCTATTCAGGTAGATAAGGGAAATTTACGTGGAAGCTGAAGTTCCTTACTAGAGAGAGCATTATCACCTCTAACTCTGAACCCAGTGGGCACTGCTAGTTTTGTAGTTCCTGGAGTTGCACTCTGCCTTTTTTTCCTCACACTTATAACTACTTCTCCAGCTCCTGCCCTGGACAGGCCTGCACTGCTCTGGGCATTCTGCCCACTAATGACTAGTTTTTGGCTCATTTCCTCCAGAGGCTGCACAGGGAAGAGTGACCTGTGTGGCCTTATCTGTACCATAGATTTTCTTTCTTGTGTCCAGCTGTAATCCCAATTTATATAAACATGTCTATACCTGAGACCCCAGTCTTGATACCCCAACATATAACGTCTTGCTAATCACCCTCACATAGCCCTTTAAGAAGGTATTTTATAATTAAGAGACTTGAAACTGAGAGGCTTACTTGCCCAAGGTGCTTGGGAATGCATTCAGATCCACACTGTGTTTACTGTACTGTGCTGTCTCCATCCCATTGTACATTACTCATTTGTAATTCCAGCTGCTTTTGTTTGAGTGACTAGCAAGTGTTCAAGTTTCACTCACATGCCATACTCTTAGAGGAAGTAAATAACGTGTTTCTTGAACCTCACTGTGTTCAGGAAGTACTTTATTTAACCTTGCCTGCGGGTTAATGAATCCTTGCTCTGCTTCCTAGGGCTTTATGTATGATTAACCAATATACCTGACTATATATTTGAAAAGTTGGCCAAATACTATATCTGGGGCATGGGGTTCCACTGCACTGCAGCAGCGCGTATTTACTTGCTCCCAGGGCTGTCCACTGTTATGAGAGAGAGAGAATTCCTACTCTGCATTCTACCCCATCACCAACTGCAATGTGAGAAGCGAATCACAATTATTTTCTCAGTCCCTGAAGTATTTGCTCCAGAAGGCTTTATTTGATGCTAGAAAAAGATTTTCCCATAGGATCAAGCTTGTTTATGGTGGTTAAGAAGACCAAGAGGGGAAGAAAATCTGTTAGGGCAATGTCAGCTTAAGAGAGAAGCTGAAATTATTTATTTTAGCACCTTATTTCTACATACCCCTCTGTTTGATTAGCTAGACATCTAAATCCATGCAAAGCATTGTTTATATAACACAATCTGCAAGATCCTTACAGTCATAGCATCTTCATCCTCCCTCCCCTATGTAGGCTTACACAATTGAGAGGAGACAACTGAAGTCTCAATTCACGTCTCACATTTCACACAAAGAACATCAGCTTTTTGTATCATTTACTCTTTACAAACATACTATTGATTGCCATAAAAAATTATCTCTGATAACACACTCATAACATCCTATCTGTTATTTACCCATCTCTGTGAAACTGATTATGAGATTTTTCCCAGGTGACTAGCAGGAAGCAGGTCTGTTAAGGGCAAAGGAGGAAGGGGTACAGCTTGTTTTGTGCTGAAAGAAGACCAGAGAAGTCAGTGAAGTCAACCTCCTGGACACAGCTTTTTCCCAAGCTGACCCTGTTGACTGAGGAATGCCGAGTTACATTAATGATGGACACTGTCTGCCCATCATGGAAAGCGGAGAGCTACATGTGTGGGAAAGGGTAGTAAACTCCTCCTCCACAACTGTGCCTCCTTCCAAGCTTAGATGACAGAATATTAGTGTCTGTTATCCTTACGACATCTCTCCATCTGGTCCTCTCAGGATTTACTTTATGGTCTGTTTTATTTCCCTTTTACTACTATTAGAAACAAACAGCTGAAAGGATTAATCAAAAATGTTACTGCTTCAAAGAGTAAAAAACATGTTACCTGTTTGACTGGTGCCCATATATAGTTAAGAGTTTCTGAAGGAAGAAGGGTCACGCTTAATAGATTTGATGAGTCCATTAAGCCTGGCTTCCATCTTGTTGCTTTGTTTGTGCATTTATTTCCATTTTGGTATCTTAGCAGTCATCTTCTTTTAGCAAACATTGAGGTTTCAGTCTATTGGGTCAGGGTATTAGCAATACATTAACCAAACCGTTGAAGACAAGGGGCCAGACATATTCAAAGTGTGATCCGCATTCAATATCACCATTCTCTTGCAATTGCAAAGTTATAGGCATCCTTTGGATTTTTGCAGCACTTATTTTATAAGAAAAGGAGTAAATAAAGCCACATCTCTGGGATATGCTTTGAGATGTTTAAGATTGGGAACATTTTCAGGCTGTCTCAATACTGGAAATTTGTTGTCCTTTTTTTTCACACATTTTCTCCCTCTTATACTACTCTTTACCAAAAGGTGGGTAAAGATAAGGAGATGAAAAAAATGTTGCTTAAGTTTTTGGTTGCCAGCTCTGTTTTAAGCCTGACATAGAAGGGGGTTGAAATTTATTTTCATCATTCAGTTAAGAGCTATTCTTGGCTTTCACAAATCTCAGTCCTAATTCTGTTATTGTTTCAGATAATGTAGAATTTGTCACATTGGCTAAAAAAACAACTCCACTAAATCAGGACATTAGTTTTACATTTCACTGTGCTACATTCTAAAATAAAATGACCATTTGTGCTGGGGATGATTTTAGAAAAGCGAATAAGTAATATAAAGTTTTCCTGGTTTTCTCATGGGCAGCCTAGAAAAATGCCACACCAAGACTCAAGAAATTACATTCTGAATTTTGCATGAAGATAAGACTTGAAGAAATCTTATTTCAACTTATACTTTCCTCAGTTTATGTCCTGTAGGAGGACCCTGTAGAGGGGGAATGCAGAAGACCAGAGGGAAGAAAATAGATGGTGTCAATTGTTATCAACACACGATAGTATCACATTTTTATTGAGATATAATTTATATATAATAAAATATGAGAGTTAAAGTATTAAGTTCAATAAATTTTGACAGGTGTATATACTTGTGAACAAAACTTCATTAAGATACAGATGAATTCTGTCATTCTAGAAATTTCTTTATGCACCTTCCCATCCTTTCAGAAAATTCCTCATGCCCCTCACTCCTCCTTCTCCTCTATCACTCATAGAGGCAACCACTGATTTCTGTCACTATAGTTTAGTGTTAGCTGTTCTCGAACTTCATATAAATGGAAACATACAGTGGGTACTCTGTTGTGCCTGGATTTATTTATTTATTTATTTATTACACCTTTAAGTTGTGGGATACATGTGCAGAACGTGCAGGTTTGTTACATAGGTATACACGTGCCATGGTGGTTTGCTACACCCATCAACCTGTCAACTACATTAGGTGTTTCTCCTAATGTTATCCTTCCCCTAGACTCCCACCCCACAAAAGGCCCCGGTGTGTGATGTTCCCCGCTCTGTGTCCATGTGTTCTCATTGTTCAACTCCCACTTATGAGTGAGAATGTGCAGTGTTTGGTTTTCTGTTCCTGTGTTAGTTTGCTGAGAATGATGCAATCCCATTACTGGGTATATACCCAAAGGATTATAAATCATTCTCCTATAAAGACACATGCACATGTATGTCTACTGCAGCACTCTTCACGATAGCAAAGACTTGGAACCAACTCAAATGCCCATCAATGATACACTGAATAAAGAAACTGTGGCACATACACACCATGGAATACTGTGCAGCCATAAAAAAGGATGAGTTCATGTCCTTTTCAAGGACATGGATGAAGTGCCTGGATTATTTAGCTTGGTGTAATGGTTTTGAGATTTATCTGGGTTGTTACATGTACTAGTAGTTTATATCTTCCATTGTGTGAGTATGCCACACAATGGATATTTGGGTTGTTTCCAGTTTGGGAATATTATGAAGGTGCCATGAACATTCATGTACAATTTTTTATGCCAATTGGCTTTAATGTCTCTTGAGTGAGTACTTAGAAATGGGACGGCTAGAGCATAAGCTAGGTGCATATTTAGATTTATGAGAAGTGGTTAGTTTTCCAAATTGGTTATACCATTCTTCACTACCTGTTACCCACTGAATGACATACTCTGTGTTCTAGCCAATGCTTTAATGTCATTTACCTTTTTAATATGTTAAAGGGTGTGTAGTAGTAACTCACTGTGGTTTTAAATGGCATTTCTCTGATGAATAATGATGTTGGATAACTTTTCTTCTGCTTATTGGCTACTTACACATCTTCCTTTGTAAAATATCTATGTCTTTTCACTCATTTTAAAAGTGAATTTGTCTTCTTATAGATTTCATACATGTTCCTTACGTATTGTGGATATGATTCTAATATGGGAATTGTGAATATTCTCTCCCAGAATGTAGCTTGCCTTTTCAATTTCTTAAAGGATGTCTTTTGAAGAGAATAATTTTAAAATATTGATAAACCCTATTTTATCAGTGTTTTCTGTTATCATTAGTTTTAGCATACTGTCTAAGAACTATTTGCCTATCAAGTTTATGATATAATCTCTTTTTTTTTCTTCTAGGATCTTCAGACTTTTAGCTTATACATTTATGGCTTATATAATCCATCTCAAGTAAATCTTCATGTATAGTATAAGGTCAAGATTAATTTCCTTTTCATATACATATCCACTTATTCTAGTACATTCATCAAAAAGATGTTTCTCTCCACATTTAATTGCACTGGTGCCTTTTACAAAAGCCATAAGTCACTTATATAAGTGTGAGTTTATTGATGGACTCCATATTTTGTTGTCTATTTGTCTACTGTATGCCAGTACCATACTCTTAGTTAAATTTTAAAGTTAGTTAGCATACGTTCTCTAACTTTGTTTTTCTCTTTTAAGATGTTTTAGCAATTTGAAATCCTTTAAAACTACATATGAATTTTAACATCAGCTTATCAATTTCTTAAAAAGCTGGCTCAGAGTTTGATTGGTATTGCTTTGAGTCTATAGGTTAATTTAGGGAGAATTAATATGTTTACAACATTTAGTTTTGCAACCCGTGAGTCTATTATCTCTCTCAATTTATTTAGATCATCACTAATTTATCTCACCAATGTTTTGTAGTTTCAGTGAAGATAGCCTAAGTCTTTTATTAAATGTATTCACAAGCGTTTTCTAGTCTTTGATATTGTAAATTGTATAGAATTTTAAATTTAACTTTCAACTTGTTTTTAATGGTTAGTAGCAGTTACTTCCTCCTCTGATATCCTGAACCCCTCAAAGTTACCCATGCGGATTGGAATCAACTTTGTCCAAACTCTTGTAAATGTTAATATTTTGATTTAAAGTGAAAGTTGTCCTGAATGGTAACGCCTAGGTTTTCTTCTAGGGTTTTTATGGTTTTAGGTCTAAGGTTTAAGTCTTTAATCCATCTTGAATTAATTTTTGTATAAGGTGTAAGGAAGGGATCCAGTTTCAGCTTTCTACATATGGCTAGCCAGTTTTCCCAGCACCATTTGTTAAATAGGGAATCCTTTCCCCATTGCTTGTTTTTCTCAGGTTTGTCGAAGATCAGATAGTTGTAGATATGCTACCATTCAGGACATAGGCATGGGCAAGGACTTCATGTCTAAAACATCAAAAGCAATGGCAACAAAAGCCAAAATTGACAAATGGGATCTAATTAAACTAAAGAGCTTCTGCACAGCAAAAGAAACTATCATCAGAATGAACAGGCAACCTACAAAATGGGAGAAAATTTTCGCAACCTACTCATCTGACAAAGGGCTAATATCCAGAATCTACAATGAACTCAAACAAATTTACAAGAAAAAAACAAACAACCCCATCAAAAAGTGGGCAAAGGATATGAACAGGCACTTCTCAAAAGAAGACATTTATGCAGCCAAAAGACGCATGAAAAAATGCTCATCATCACTGGCCATCAGAGAAATGCAAATCAAAACCACAATGAGATACCATCTCACACCAGTTAGAATGGCAATCATTAAAAAGTCAGGAAAGAACAGGTGCTGGAGAGGATGTGGAGAAATAGGAACACTTTTACACTGTTGGTGGGACTGTAAACTAGTTCAACCATTGTGGAAGTCACTGTGGCGATTCCTCAGGGATCTAGAACTAGAAATACCATTTGACCCAGCCATCCCATTACTGGGTATATACCCAAAGGACTGTAAATCATGCTGCTATAAAGACACATGCACACGTATGTTTATTGCGGCACTATTCACAATAGCAAAGACTTGGAACCAACCCAAATGTCCAACAGTGATAGACCGGATTAAGAAAATGTGGCAGATATACACCATGGAATACTATGCAGCCATAAAAAATGATGAGTTCATGTCCTTTGTAGGGACATGGATGAAATTGGAAATCATTATTCTCAGTAAACTATCCCAAGGACAAAAAACCAAACACCTCTTGTTCTCACTCATAGATGGGAATTGAACAATGAGAACACATGGACACAGGAAGGGGAACATCACACTCTGGGGACTGTTGTGGGGTGAGGGGAGTGGGGAGGGATAGCATTAGGAGATATACCTAATGCTAAATGACGAGTTAATGGGTGCAGCACACCAACATGGCACATGTATACATACGTAACTAACCTGCACATTGTGCACATGTACCCTAAAACTTAAAGTATAATAATAAAAAATAAATAAATAAAAATAAAAATAAAGTGAAAGTTGTGTGACTCTTCCTTTCACTTGAAAACTTAGAGGTTCCTGGAGGGTTATTAATTGTTTTAATTTCACTATTGTTTTGTCTCAGGGAATAGGGAGGCCAGAGGAGAGGGAGTGAGATAAGGAACAGACAGTTTGTGGAGCAGTTAGAACACACATAACATTTGTTAAGTTGACCATCTTGCGTGGGAGTGATTTGTGGTGCCCCAAAGCCATTATGGTAGTAACATGAAAGATCATTGATCGCAGATTACCATAACAAATATAATGATAAAAATAATGTTTGAAATATTGTTAGAATTGCCAAAATGTGACACGGAGAGATGAAGGAAGCACATGCTGTTGGAAAAATGATGCTGATAGACTTGCTGAATGCAGGGTTGCCACAAAGATTTAATAGGTAAAAAATACAGTATCTTTCAAGTACAATAAAATGAGGTAGCTTCTATGTCCTTGTATGTTTCATGGGACTTTCTATGTGCACCATTATGTCTTCTGTGAATAAAGGCAGTTTAACGTCTTTGACAATTTTTTTGTATAGCATTGAAAAAGTTTATTTTGAGTTAAAAATGTGTCCTTGTAAATTTCTTTTCTTTTTTTAAAAATTTCTTCTAAAAAAACAGGGTACATGTGCAGAACATGCAAGTTGGTTACATAGGTATACATGTGACATGGTGGTTTGCTGCACCTATTGACCAGTCCTCTAAGTTCCCTTCCCTCAACAGGCCCTGATGTGTGTCATTCCCCTCTCTGTGTCCATGTATTCTCATTGTTCAACTCCCACTTACGTGTGAGAACATGTGGTGTCTGGTTTTCTGTTCCTGTTTTAGTTTGCTGAGGATGATAGCTTCCAGCTTCATCCATGTACCTGCAGAAGACATTATCTCATTCCTTTTTATGGCTGCAAAGTATTCCATGGTGTATGTGTGTCACATTTCCTTTATCCAGTCTGTCACTGATGGGCATATGGACTGGTTCCATGTCTTTGCTATTGTAAATAGTGCTGCAATAAACATATGTGTGCATGTGTCTTTATAGTAGAATGATTTATATGCCTATGTATATATACCCAGTAATGGGATTGCTGAGTCAAATGGTATTTCTGGTTCTAGATCCTAGTTATGCCTTAAACTTTTATTTTCTGTCTAATTGCTCTAGCTAGGGCCTCTAGTTACAATGCTGGATAGCAGTGATGAGGTCAGATAATATAGTAATTATTAAAACTTCCCATATAAAGAATTCTTGATCCAGATAGCTTCATTAATTCTCTAAATATTTAAGAAAAAAAGATACTAATCTTATGCAATTTATTTAAGAAAATAATGGAGAAAAGAACACTTCCCAGCTTGTTTTATGAGGCTAGCATTACTTGACATGAAAACCTGACAAGGACATTATTAGAAAAGAAATCATGGACCAATAATGTTATGAGCATAGACATAAAAATTCGTAATAAAACATTAGAAAATTAAACCCAGTGATATGCATAAAGACAAATTTACCAGGGAATGCAAGGTTAGTTTCATATTTGAAAATCAGTAGTGCAAGTCATCATATTTAACAGAATAAAGGAGAAAAATCATATAATCATCTCAATAGATGCTGAAAAGCGTTTGAAAAAAAGGTAACTCCTGTTCATGATTAAATCTCTCAGCAAACTTGGAATAGAAGAGATATTTCTCATTTGATAAAGGAAATCTATAATAAACCTACAGCAAACAACACATATAATGATGAAACATTAAAACATTTCTCTGTGGAATTTGATCTTACTTGCTTATACTTTCATTAAATGCATATATGACATTTTGTAAAATCTCAGTTGCTATTATTGTATTATTATGACCTACATTTAGTTAGATGAAAAACACTTTTCTGGTACCCAACAATTTGTCATTGCCGTTTAGATACCATTTAACAGTTTTTCTGTTGCATCTACAAGCTGGGTCCACACCAGATTGGGAGCACACTCCAAAGCAGGACTTCTCTGTTTAGCTTCCCCCTTTCCATGTTTAAAAACTTTCAACTGTCAGAAAAATACAGGGAAAAATGTTGTATCATGAAACCAAGTAATGGTTCTTCTATTAACTCAAATACTAAAGTATGACTATTTGATTAGGGATGCTAGATGTGAGAATGGAAATAAAGGGATACAAGAGGCATTTAAAAATAGATAGTTGGCCGGACACAGTGGCTCACGCCTGTGATCCCAGCACCTTGGGAGGCCGAGGCGGGCAGATCACGAGGTCAGGAGATCGAGACCATCCTGGCTAACACGGTGAAACCCCGTCTCTACTAAAAATACAAAAAATTAGCCTGGCATGGTGGCGGGTGGCTGTAGTCCCAGCTACTTGGGAGGCTGAGGCAGGAGAATGGCGTGAACCTGGGAGGCAGAGCTTGCAGTGAGCCAAGATCGCGCCACCACACTCCAGCCTGGGTGACAGAGCAAGAGCTTGCAGTGAGCCAAGATCGCGCCACCACACTCCAGCCTGGGTGACAGAGCAAGACTCCATCTCAAAAAAAAAAAAAAAAAAGATAGTTCTGGAATTCTGAGTGTACACAGAAGATAAAGGATGGAGATAGGATGAATAAAGAATAGGAGATTTTGTACATGTTATTTTCTTTTCTGAGATTAGTCTTGCCTCTTGTCTTTGACTAGTCAATTCCTCCTCATCTTGTTTTTAATCAACTTTTTTGAGATAATGGTAGATTGACATGCAGTTGCAAGAAATAATACAGAGAGATACTCTGTATCTTTTACTCAGTTTGCCCCAACGGTGATATCTTGCAAAACTATAATACAATATCACAATCAGAATATTGACATTGATACAGTCATGATAAATAGCATTTTCATCACTACAAGAATCCTTCATTTTGTGCTTTTACAGCCATGATGACTTCCCTCCTGACCCCATTCCCTGCTTAGCCCCTGGCAACTACTATTCCTATAATTATGTGATTTCAAGATTGTTATATAAATGAAATGATGTAGTATAATATGTATTGAAGGTAGATAGAGTGATTCCTCCCACTTCATAATTAATTTTTTCAAATATATTTAGCAATTCTAATTTTTCTCCTCATATGAATTTTAGAATAATCTATATATACAAAATATTTTGCTGAGATATTTTATAGGAATTTTGTTAAACTTGTAATGTCAATTATGGGAGAATTTACATGTTTTTTATGTAGTATCTTCGAATCCATGAACACAATATGTATCCTCATTTACTTACATCTTCTTTGATTTTTTTTTATTATACTTTAAGTTTTAGGGTACATGTGCACATTGTGCAGGTTAGTTACATATGTATACATGTGCCATGCTGGTGCACTGCACCCACTAACTCGTCATCTAGCATTAGGTATATCTCCCAATGCTATCCCTCCCCCCTCCCCCCACCCCACAAGGGTCCCCAGAGTGTGATATTCCCCTTCCTGTGTCCATGTGATCTCATTGTTCAATTCCCACCTATGAGTGAGAATATGCGGTGTTTGATCTTCTTTGATTTATTTCATCAGTGTTTTATAGTTTTCAGTATACAAGTTAGAACTATTGTTATATTTATTATACCTAAATATTTTTATTTTTTGAGTGATTATAAGTGTTACTGTTTTCAATTTTGGTGTTCACATATATATTGCTAGTATATAGAAACACAATTTATTTTGTATGTTTATCTTGTATCTTGCAACCTTACTGAACTCACTTATTAGTTCTATGCACTTTTTTTATAGATTCTTTGGGCTTTTCTAAACAGAAAAACCTGTCATCTGGAAGTAGGGACTGTTTTCTTTCTTTCTTTGCAGTCAGTCTACCATTTATTTCGTTTTCTTGTCTTCTTGGACTGGCTAGAACTTCCAGTACTATATTGAATAAAAGCAGTGAGAGCAGAAATGCTTGCCTTGTTTCTGAGAATAGTGAGGAAGCATTCAGTCTTTTATCATCATGTGTAATGTTAGCTGTAGGTTTTTTGTAGATACTCTTCATCAAACTGAAGTTCTCCTCTATGCCTGTGTTTCTGAGAGTTTTTATCAGGGGTAAGTATTGAATTTTGGCAAATACTTTTTCTATATCCTGTGTAGTTTTCCAAACTTGGAAACTCTTCTGCACTCTAGCTGCCTTCACATGGGCAAGTGTTTTCATATCATTCTGTGTTCCTCTGTATGCTTTGCCAGAAAGGAGTTCACCTTAAATTTTAAGACAATGTTGTGGATAGAGAAAAGAAAAACTTTCTGTGTCATGGAAAAGAGGTCAGAATTTGGGCCAAGATTTTACTCCTGGCTCTTTTATCAGGCCAGGATTTTACTCCTGGCTCCTTCTATCCTTTGCATAGTGAGATCATATTCTCTTTGAGTCTGTTTCTTCATTTACAAATAGAAGAAAAATAGCTGCAGTGATGATCAGGTGACTTGATAGAGGAAATGCTTAGTCAATGTAATTGGTTTATAGATAGTAATTAATGTGAGAGTTTTCCCCAGATTTTTATAGTCTTCCTTTATCATTTATTGCTTTACCACAATAAGTCATTTGTCAAGGAGGAACACGTATATTTCCCTAGAGAACACACCGATATGAGAACATACGAAGCCTACACTCCTCATTCAGGAACAGGCAAGAGACAAGTGTACATCTAGTTCCACCAAGAAAACACACACACACATTAACATACCAGTAATAGTAAGAAAGCTTTTATGGAGATTCTGAAACATCTATTAGACCTTGAAAGATAACTTAGTATTTACATGGGAGGAGACACACTTCAACCTACCACGTTAAAAAAGATCCCCTGAGTTGTATCCTGAGCTGTCGTAGATAAGTGTCTTCACCCCTCTGTTACTAGCCTGTGTTCAGTCTAGTAAAAAGCCTGCAATGAGAAAGGAACAATGACTTCTTTGGAAAGAGAAAAGTGTATATGTTTTGGGGTGGGATTAAGAGAAACAGAGAAACCAAATGTTCCTATGGGAAGCTGGAACTTACTCAGCATTCACTTGAGAGGAAGGACAACAAGCCCCTGTGCAAACCCCTAGGAAATGTCAGTAGAGTCAATTTCTGAAAAATAGATAAACAGCTTGGTAAAGTAAGCTAAAGAATAATAGTGATACATCCCAGATTTTCCAGGATATTTCTGATTGAAATTGTCCAATTCATTTTTGGTGATGTTTTAATTTTTGATTTGGGAAACACGAACACTATACTTCTATGTTTAGCTTTAGTGATTTTTCTGCCACAAGCAATACTCTAGACTTTAGTTGAGTTTTTCCCTCTTAATTAAATAATTCTTATTTGAATATATTTATGTTTATTTTAAAAAAGGCTACTGAGTACGAGATTACCACTTGTTACGATCTTGCTCCTTGGAGCAGAACGTGACATCTCATATGTATATATACTTAGCTCTCTTGGGCAAAAGCTTCTCCCTTTGTTCCACATGGTCATCTGAACATTCCGTGAAGCATTTCTATCCTCCCAGGATGTTTTATTTCTTGTTTTCATGGGTGAAGAGAGACTGTTTTATAAAAGTTTTCAAATACTTACTGGATTTGTATCCTAAAGGGAGAAAGCAGCAGGTCATTTTTTTTTTCTTTCAAGGGCTTGCTGTAAGTTGGTCTTCCTCTTAACACGAAGAAAAGAATGACATTCTTCATGACCGCCATTGTGAGTAGGCTGTATTACATTAAAGCCCCATTATTAGCAGGCTGTGCCTTGGCTGATTTTATAGAGAGCTCAGGAACAGAAGTGTAGAACAAAAACACTGATATTTTTCACTGGCACAAACTGCAGATACTTTACTTGTTGATTAATTTGTTAAAATGTGTGGCAGAACATTTAGTTATCAGGTAGTCATTCTGAGTAAACTAGAGTCCTATGCTCCTTTAACAATGGAAAAATTATATTTTCCTTTTTCTAATATCCCAGTGTTGTATGTATGCTCATTTATGTTCTTGGTTTAACAGGAACATTGAACATTCCCTCACTTTGAATCTACTCTAACTCCTGTGTTTGTGTATTTTCACCACAGTAAGCCATAATATATAAAATAGTACAATTAAGAAAACCTTAGCCAGCACGGTGGCTCTTGCCTATAATCCCAGTACTTTGGGAGGCTGAGGCAGGTGGATCACTTGAGGTCAGGAGTTCCAGACCAGCTTTCCCAACATGCGGAAACCCCGTCTCTACTAAAAATACAAAAATGAGCTGGGCGTGGTGGCAGTTACCTGTAATCCCAGCTACTCAGGAGGCTAAGGCTGGAGAATTGATTGAACCTGGAGGCGGAGGTTGCAGTGAGCCGAGATTGTGCCATTGTGCCATTACACTCCAGCCTGGGTGACAAGAGCAAAACTCTTTCTCAAAAAAAAAAAAAAAAAAACTTAAGTAATCTTCATAAGTAAATGATATATACTTAAATACAAATTATCACATTTATAAAAGAAATTTTCTGTATTTGTCCAACATCGGTCAAATTCCTTAATCTTATAACAATTGACACAAGAACAAGAACTGCCACCCAGTCCACATTTATCTTCTCTATCATATTTAAGATATTGCAGGGCTGGAGTATCTTCTTAGGATATACTTTCATCACAACAGATAACCTATTACATCAGAGATTCAAAGAAGTAGAATGGGAGAGAGAAGGAGTTATATTTTTTTTACCCTAAATGATGTCATCAAGTCACTATGCTAATGGAGATTGCTGCACTTGAGATTATGTGCCTTACAAAATAATTTAATAATGACTTTAGACAGCTGATATTTCCCATATAGAAAATAAGAATTCAGCTTATTTATATTCTGGAAAGAACCATATCTGCTGCTTAGAGTGAAGCAGACCTGCAGTTTACACAACAGTTGAGAATAATCTTGTTTACCAAGCTCTTTGGATAAATAGAAAAATATCCACCTTATCTTGAGTTGCTGTGGTAATCAGCTGAATTAGTTTACTACTTAAGCTCTCTGGAAGATGATTGGTGCATCATCTGTGAAGATGACTGGAATGTTAGCCCACTGAAGTTATAACTTGTGGAACACTGTTCAAATTACCGAAAAGAGTAAATCAACTATCTGCTGGTACTCAGTTCTCAGGGAGCAGTTTACACCTTGAAAAATCAGATCCAACACATACTAACCATAGTTTCTCATGTTATGATTTCTGGTGGAATTCCTTTAGACTCAGCCTTATTCTTCAAGATACTGAATTTTTGGGAACCCTAAGTACAGTTTCTCCTTCTTACATAGAGACTTGATGTTCCTAACTGGTCGCAAACTTGGGTTCATCAGAAGAATCTGCTCCCCTTGTGAGCACAAATAATATCTCAGTGAAGAGAAAGACACTGTCATAGAAGAGTCAACATTTATGGAATTTCCTGGAATCCACAGTTATCTTAAACTCTGTTCCACTTTCTCTGGACACCAGCTACCTTCAATAGTGCCAGGTTCAGTGTCTAACCATGGAGTATCTCATAGTTGGACTGGGTGAGTGCAGATGCAGTTGCATGAGATTTTGAAACATCACATTATAAAAAAAAATTTTCAGGTATGCAAAAGGCAGGAGAGAACATGTACTCCTTACCCTGCTTTAAAAATTTCTCAACATTTTGCCAATTTTGTGTCATCTATTCCCCCCAATCATAACATTTTTTGCTGAAATATTGTAAAGCAAATCCAAAACATTATTTCATTTTACCTATAAATACTTCAATAATTTACATGGGTTTTTAATGGCTTGCTATTTATTTTCAGGGTTTCTTTTAGTATCTTTGACCTCTGTCACAGCTCATCTTGCAAGGTTGCCTATCTCATTGTCAGAGAGCTCTAGCTAAAGCTCATTCATCGTTTTGTGAACTATGAGGCCACATATTCTGTGTTGACCCAAGTTGGGCCAGAAAGACAGTTTTCAAGAGGGCATGGCTTCTAGGTCTCTGCCGCAGCTTGTCCACTTTCTTTCATTGTCAGCTACTAGAACTATGGCAGCCCATGCTGGGATATAATTTTTCATTGGGCACAGAAAAAGAGGGTGGCGTTAGGCAGAATCAAAAGTAGGAGCTAAGAAAATGAAAAAGACAAGGCAGAAAATATGCCAAAGGTGCATATTTAAGGGATAAGGGGAGGAATCTGTGATGTTGAGGATGAGTCCCCTTGAAGTAGGGGTGCACACAAGAGTCTCCCAACTTGTGAATTACTAAGGACACCAATGGTGAACTAATTTATAATAGTTGTCTCCTGTGACTGAGAAGGCTGAGAGTGGGGATTATCAGTAAGAAAATAGCTCAGAGGCAACCAAGTTGTATGGATCTTTAGAAAGGGAAGCAAGGAAATAGACAAAGGACAACTTCACTGAAAACATTTATGAAGTATTCAGTAATGTTTTAACTTCTTTTTAATGAGAAACAGCAAACCCTAAGGGGAAACACTCTGGGGTGTTTATGTCCAGGGTCAGCAAGGCTCCAGGGTTATGTCTTATTCAGACATATTCAGGAGTACCGGGGAGAGAGAATACTCCAGGAAATAGGTGTTGGCATCTGTGGAAAGGAGAGAAAGTCAGACTGTATCCTAGAGTCTTAGGGATAAATATAGAGTGGAAAACATGAAATCATCTTGTGAACACAGGGCAGCTATTGAGGCTTGGCAGGTAGGTTGGGGTTATTGTGAAAAAGTTCCCAGCAATCCAAAGAGATGTTTTATCTTTGACATTGTGCCGCCTGTGCCTTGAGTTAGAAAGGTACACACACGTGTGAGTTAAGAAAAACTTCTGATACTAAATTATTTATAGTTAAACCTCTAGTAAAACCCTGAATTCAAAAATATTTGTAGCAGAATACAAATATTCTTTTTGTTTTGTCATTTATCCTGGTAAAAGTCAAGTTGCTGCAGCGTGATGGTTCTGGTACTGAAATGGTCTTAGGAAAGTGGAGGAGGAGTGGAGTTACATGTTTTTAAAAACTTGTTTTGTGGCTGCATAGTATTCCATGGTGTAGGATGAAGCTGGAAACCATCATTCTCAGCAAACTATCGCAAGGACAAAAAACCAAACACCGCATGTTCTCACTCATAGGTGGGAATTGAACAATGAGAACACTTGGACACAGGAAGGGGAACATCACACACCGGGGCCTGTTGTGGGGTGGGGGTAGGGGGGAGGGATAGCATTAGGAGATATACCTAATGTAAATGACGAGTTAATGGGTGCAGCACACCAACATGGTGCATGTATACATATGTAACAAACCTACACGTTGTGCACATGTACCCTAGAACTTAAAGTATAATAAACATATATATATATATATATATATATATACATATATAAACTTGTTTTGTGAATTTTGAAATAGTTTTACACATACATAGGCATTGCGATAATGCTACGGACAGTTCCCACAGTCCCTGTTACCTAGTGTCCATCATGGAAAGCATATAACGTAATCATAGCACAATTATCAAAACCAGGAAATCAACATTGGTAAATGCTATTAACTAAACCATAGATCTTTTCCAGATTTCAGTAGTTCTTACATGCAATCATTTTCCTTTATAGCATATGGTTCACTGAAACTTTATCACATGTATAGATTTGTGTAACCACCACTACAATCAGAATGGAGATCTCTTCAATCATCCCAAAGGAACTCTTTGGTGCAGTCCCTTTGTAATCTTGTCCTTTCCCCAACCTAATGCCTGGCAGCCACTAATCTCCATCATTAAAAATTTGTCATTTCAAGAATGTTATATGAATAGAATAATAACTATGCAACCTTTTGAGATTGACTTTTTTTCCCATTCAGCGTAACACCTGAGATTTATCTAAGTTGTGTGTTTCAGTTGCTGAGTAAGATTCTATTTTATGGATGTAACACAGATTGTGTATCCATTCATGTGTGTTGAAGGGCATTTGGGTTTTTTTCCCCCAATTTGGGGCTATTACTGAAATTATATTTTACTGTTTTTTCCTAAATATATGAATCTGAAAGTGTATCTGTATCATTTAAGACTTAACTCCATGTGGAATTAATTTCTAGAAGCGTGAAGAACAGGTTACCAGTTCTCCCAGGATTGCTATGATGACTAATTTTTAGCTGAATAAAATATGAATATATCTATTCATTTTTATATGTGTCAAGAATGTGCTGAGAGTTATAGGAAAACAGAAAGGTAATAATTGTTACCAAATCATGAGGAGTGCCCAAGTTCTAAAAAACCCACAAAGTCAAAGAATGGTGCATGGCTATAGTTTCAGAATTATTTTCTCAGAGAGTGCCAGAGCCAATCTTCTTGGTACCTGAGGGTAAACACCCAACCTCTTGTTCCTCACTTAGACTTTCTTCTATACTTGGCTTTTCTCCATGAAGGGTACTGTTTCAGCACATTGGACAGAAAAATACAAGCACAGTGCAAAAATAGGTGTGAATGTTGTACTGATTCAGGTACCAGTATGTGTTTTGAAAGTTAACTCTGCTTTTCTAGTGATACTTACTTTGGATAAAACCTAGGTCAAGCCTGTTCAAAACTGTTACCCGAAGGCAATTATTCAACATTATAAGCACATGGTTTCCAGATCATTCATCATTTTATTTAACTTCTTGAGTACATAAAGTTTTTATCCCATTTGTGAGTCTTGATGCACACAATTGACTAACTGTGTTTGGGTTATTTTCTCTTCCACATTGGGAAAAACTATCTTTCATGATCTATCTCCCTTTTCAAAGCTGTTAAACTTTTGTCTTCTTTAAATGATTTTCTGTGATGATCCAGTGTTTCTTGTCACGTTTCTGTACCTATATGTGCTACTGTTGTGTATTTGTTTGTTCATCCTGCCTCTCCCACGGAAAGACCTGTCTTCTGTTCTTCGTCACCAAGACTCTCTACACAGTAAGGGCTCCATCTGTTTTGACTGTTGACCTACTGAAGGGACATGCCTTTGCGGACAGATTCAACACAAGGTTGAGGATTAAACCCAGGCTTATTTTCCTTCGGATTTTCTCAACAATCCTTCCATCTCCTAGTAGTATCTATTCTCTTCTAGCAACTTTTTTTTTAAATAATAAAATTGCCTTGGTCTTCTAGGACCCTCTGGGAAGGTAGGTGTCAGGATGGAAAGTAGGTTGGTCTGATCAAGGGAGTCCTGTCATGGGAGGTGAGAAGACCTGGGATCTGGTACTGGATTTGCTTCTCACTCCTAACATGATCATGAAAATATTTTCTGCTTCCTTCCTTATTAGCAAAATCAGGTAGATATAAAAGGCTCTGAAGCAGACTGGGTTGTTGTAATGGCAAAGGGGGAACCTAAAAAATTCTGGACTGAGATGTGGGAGTCACACCATTGTCCACTGCAGACATACCAAACAAGCCACCTTAATTTAGAGCACAGGCTTGTGAGTCTAGTGATGCTGTTCAATCATACATTTTAATCTCTATAAAATGTAATCTCCTATGCACAAAGGTAGTACCAATAGCACTTGAGTGCCTCGAAGAGAGTTTTGCCCAAAAAGCAGCAGACTTACTGTATGATATGTCCATCTGTGAAGGTCCTGGCTCAGACTGAGCTGACAGTATGGAAGTCTACTCTAATGCAGAAAGGTTGGAAACCTGTAATTATTGTTAAAAGTTTAGGGTTGTGGAACCTATTTTTATAGCAAGACAAACTTGCTCTGGTATTGGCCCATGGATGGGTAAAAGAAAGTAAATGCTTTCACCTTTTAAAAAGGGGAAAGTGTGGCACTGTCAGCATGGCTCAGTGCTCACTGTCATCCTGCTGCTACATCATGTGCTTGATGCACTGTCATTTGGGTGATAACATCACATTTAAGTCATGATCATTTATTCCCAGTGTCAGAGTGAAGGAGTCCTGTTCATTTGAGTTTCAGTATTCCTCAAACTGGATTTCAAAAAGAATTTCTTCCAAAAGAATTCATCAAGGACTACCGTAATTTCATACCAGGAAGAAAACTGTCAAAATATGTCATGAGTCCAACTAAAAACCTAGCTCAAACCATCATAGTCTCTCATCCAAACTACTAAATTGACTTCCTAACTAGGTTCCTGCATTGACTCTTGCTCCTCCATAGTCGGTGCTCCACACAACAGCCAGAGGGATCTTTTAAAATTAAAATTCTGTTGAAAATATAATACCCATCACAAAGCCTTTGGCAGTTTTCTCTTAGAAGTGCATGCTTTTACTTAGCTTCAAGCAATAGTATCTTCTACCTGTAGGTCTTCTCTCTCCATATATAAGTCCTTCCTATCTTTTCAAATCCAGATTTTACATTCGAATATCCTTCAGGAGATGTTTAATGATCCCCCCAGCTGATAAAAGTTACCTTCTCTGAGTTTTTTATGACACAGTATTTGTATATTTTATGCCATGTATCAGTTTTCTACCTTGTATCATAGTAATTTACGTACCTTCATCCTTTCTCTACTTTGAATTTATTGAGGACAGATTCTGTGTTTTACAAATCTGCATTGGGTACTCAATAAATATTTGTGAAATAACTAAATAAATGAGCTGTGTTAAAATTAAAAAAAAAAAGAAAAAGAAGTGCATGCAATAAAAATGGCTTGCTATGGCTCACAGGAACCAAGTGTGATCTGGCCTGAGTCAGTCTTTTCAACTTCCCCTCCTGCCACTCTCCCCTTTGCTGGCTTTCCTCCAAGTACACTGGGGTTTTTACTTTTCTTTGGATCTTCCTCAGGGCCTTTGCACTTGTGGTTGCCTCTACTGGGCACTTCATATTCCCCCAGATTTTTGCCTGACTCCCCTACTTCATTTATGATCAACATGTAATCACTCCCTCATTCTTTCCTTATTCTCTATCCCTTACCATGCTTTATTTTTCTTCATGACCCTTATATATCTTAGATCATAATATATATTTATTTGTTGGCTTATTTCCTGCCTTCCTGTCTAGAGTGTAACCTTCTTGAGAGCAGTGACATTGTCTTTTTCATACTGCATCCCATGCCTGTAGTGTCTGGCACAGAACAGGTTTTTGATTAATAGTCTTTGAATGGGTGAAAGAGAATAGAGGTATCTGGCATAGTCGGGGGTCAAGTCAGCCTGAGGTCAAATCCAAATCTTGTAGATTCGGGATATTAATCATTTGTTAGATACATAGTTTGCAAATATTTTCTCCAATTCTGTAGGTTGTCTCCTCACTCTATTGATTATTTCTGTTGCTTTGCAGAAGCTTTTTATTTAAATTAAGTCCCAGTTGTCTGCAAGGAACTTAGACAAGAACAACAACAAAAAACAATCCCATTAAAAGGGGGCTTTAAAGTACACGAACAGACATTTCTCAAAAGAAGATATGCAAGTTGTCAACAAACATGAAAAAATGCACACCATCAGTAATCAGAGACATGCAAATTAAAACCACAATGCAATACCATTTTATACCAGTCAGAATAGTTATTATTAAAAAGTCACACACACAAAAAAACCCAACAGATGTTGATGAGGATGCAGAAAAAACAGAACCATTATACATTGTTGGTGGGAAGGTAAATTAGTACAACCCCTATGGAAAACAGTGTGGAGATTTCTCAAAGAGCCAAAAATAGAACTACTATTCAATCCAGTAATCCCACCACCAGATATCTACACAAAAGAAAACAAATCATTTTATTAAAAAAGAGATACCTGTACTCATATATTTATCACAGTACTATTCACAATAGCAAAGTCATGGCATCAGCACCTAAGTGTCCATCATGGAGGACTGGATAAGGAAAGTGTGGCATATATACCACAGAATACAACTCAACCGCAAAACAGAATGAAATCATGTCTTTTGCATCAACAGGTATGAACCTGGAGGCCATTATCCTAAGTGAAAGAACTCAGAAACAGAAAGTCAAGTATCACGTTCTCACTTATGAGTGAGAGATAAACAATGGGTGTACATAGACAAGATGGAAATAATGCACTCTGAGGACCCCAAAAGCACAGAGGATGGGAGGGGTTTGAGGTTTGAAAAATTACATAGTATGTACAGTGTTCGCTATTCAGGCAATGGTCACACTAAAAGCCCAGACTCACCACTACACAGTATATCAATGGAACAAAACTGTACTTGTACCTCTTAAATATATTTTAAAAATCCATACTTTGGCCGGGTGCGGTGGCTCACGCCTGTAATCCCAGCACGGAGGCCAAGGCAGGCGGATCATGATGTCAGGAGATCGACACCATCCTGGCTAACATGGTGAAACCCCGTCTCTACTAAAAATACAAAAAATTAGCTGGGCATGATGGTGGGTGCCTGTAGTCCCAGCTACTCGGGAGGCTGAGGCAGGAGAATGGTGTGAACCCAGGAGGTGGAGCTTGCAGTGAGCCGAGATCATGCCACCACACTCCAGCCTGGGCGACAGAGCAAGACTCCGTCTCAAAAAAAAAAAAAAAAAAAAAAAAAAAATTCATACTTTACTAGTGGGCGATTATTGGAATATGAAGCATTTCAGTTTAACTTTGTAAGCTTTAGTCTTTGTGTTTTAAAATGTGTCTGATGCTGTCTTCTTCATAGTTTGTTAGGAGCACTAAATGAATAGTAGAAAGCCTGCCAGAAAGTGATTTAGTCTGAATCTATAAAGCTGTTTCTGAGCACTGACTGTAAAGTGCACTAGAAGCTCAAATTTTTAGGTTTTGTCATTTTGTGACAGGTTGATGTGGAACTCGAGGGGTTGGCCAAAGCCCTCAGAGGGTTGTAGGCCATGAAAGTTCGAGAACCACTGGGCCATGTCCATGCAAAATGAAAAATAGTTAAATTGAAAAACAGATGTCCTTGTGCCTCCTAATTCCCAGCAGGGGCTCTTGTCTGAAGCCTGAGATGGCTCCTTGGGTTTCTGTGAATGTTGTCAAGGGCGCCAAGGATGCCGGACTTGCATTTAGATGCCCAAGCCTCTGTGCTGGAAATGATGGGAAAAAATAGGAACTCTTGAACTTGAGCAAGTATTAGAATATGTGAGGTAATGGAGAAGCCTCCTCCCTCATGCCCATGCTCTTGTCAGGCCTGTTTGTTAAGGTCCAGGCCCCACTTCCCACTTTTTTTATATTATTATTATACTTTAAGTTTTAGGGTACATGTGCACAACGAGCAGGTTTGTTACATATGTATACATGTGCCATGTTGGTGTGCTGCACCCGTTAACTTGTCATTTAGCATTAGGTATATCTCCTAATGCTATTCCTCCCCCTCCCCCTACCCCACAACAGTCCCTGGTGTGTGATGTTCCCCTTCCTGTGTCCATGTGCTCTCATTGTTCAATTCCCACCTATGAGTGGGAACATGCGGTGTTTGGTTTTTTGTCCTTGCGATAGTTTGCTGAGAATGATGGTTTCCAGCTTCATCCATGTCCCTACAAAGGACATGAACTCATCATTTTTTATGGCTGCATAGTAACAGCAGGTTCTGGAGAGGATGTGGAGAAATAGGAACACTTTTACACTGTTGGTGGGGCTGTAAACTAGTTCAACCATTGTGGAAGTCGGTGTGGCAATTCCTCAGGGATCTAGAACTAGAAATACACGTATGTTTATTGTGGCACTATTCACAATAGCGAAGACTTGGAACCCACTTCCCACTTTTGTTTCCTTTAATTGCCCTTATGAGACCACATCCAAAATCCCAAGTCCTGCCAAGTGAATGCAGTACTTAAAGATTTGACTACTGGATGTCTGGTCTTGGAGAAAACAGTCAAGAGCTGGAGCAAGACAGAGAGCAGCATACCTGTAATACAGCTTATTAAAATAATGCAAACACTTCTGTAATATGTATGAGGTGCCAGGTAGTCTGCCAAGAACTTTTCATCTATTAATTTGTTTAGTCTTTACAACTGTTCACTCCACTTCCTGTTAGGGAGATAGCTGTTGTTGGACCCAATGTAGAGATGAGGAAACACTGAGGACCAGAGAGTAGGCATCCAAGGTCACAGAGTTGGGCATGCGTGGGGCAGAGCCCCAGGCTCAGGCATTCTGGATCCCAGGCCCATGTGCCTGCATGGTAGAGGGGGAGCTGGCACTAGCCCTTGTGCCCCCAAATATCCTGGCTGCATTGTTCCCCTGTTCTTAGTTCATTTGTGTTACTATAAAGGAATACCTGAAGCTGGGTAATTTATAAAGAAAAGAGGTTTATTTGGCTTGGAGGTCTGCAGGCTATACAAGAAGCGTGGCGCCACATCATCTGCTTCTGATGAGGGCCTTAGGAAGCTTCCACCCATGGCAGAAGGAAAAAGGAACAGATATTACATGGTGAAACAGGAAGGAAGACAGAGCGGGGGAGATGCCAGGCTCTTTTTAACAGCCAGGTTGGCAGGGGGTGTGTGGGGAGACTCTTGTGGGAACTAATAGAGTGAAAACTCAGTCATTACCTTGAGGATAGCACCAAGCCATTCATGAGGGATCCACCCCTATGACCCAGATACATTCCACCAGGCCCCACCTCTAACATTGGAGATTAAATTTCAACATAAGGTATGGAGGGGACAAATATCCAAACTCTATTATCCCCATAAATGGTTAAACTCCGGGAGAGACAACTATGCACCTCTCAATCCCAAGGTGAGTTGGGATTCACGATTGGTTAAAACTTCATCAGAACCATCCACATTGGAAATCACATCTAAAACTTGAGTAATTTTATGGTTTACAAAGCATATTGACTTCCTTGATTTATTCATGTTGCCAGCTGCCCTCCGAGGCAGAGGATCTTTTCACTTTTCTCCTATTACTCAATGCCACTACTGAGCCTCTGCACTGACCCTACGGCTTCCTGTCGTACTCTCTGCAATGCTACATGTCCCTTCTAGTCTAGGGCGATCCTGGTGGAAGCATGAAGCCAGCCAGCCTCTCTCTGGTCACCACCATCACTTCATTCCTTATATATACCAGGCATGGGAATGTTTCTTTTGCTTGTTAATTTTTGTTCTTGCTCTTATCTGCATTTATCTTCCTTCCCCCAAGTGTACTGCCAGACCCTGGAGAACAGGGAGGGGAATTGTTTTTCCTTTATTATTCTTTCCTCAGTTCCTGCTGTAGAACTGTACATCTAGTCAATGCTTAATAAATGCTGGTAAGTTGAATTATCAACACTGAACGTAGAAATGCACTGTTGCCTGGCTTGTTAGTTTTGTAAGAATAGGGATAATAATAGTAGCAACTAATGTGTACAGATTTGACTATGTGACATTATTTAAGGGCTTTGCACACATTAATCCATTTAATCCTCTCCATGACCTAAAGCACTGCTATGCTGAAGTGCATTTTGCCTATGGAGAAATGACTGGTTTTTGGGAAGCCAATGTGCAGAAGGCCTTGTTTCACTACCCCTAAAACAGTGCATGTGCAGGAGGACTGTTATTGCTGTGCTTTGGAAGGTCTGTGGATGAGGAAATGTAGAATTGCAGATTTATGGGTTGGAAGTTGATTTAGAAGACACATGTAACAGAAGTAACAATCTTATCAGACTTACCAGTGTCTTCCACTTATTTCCTTAACTTCAGATGCTCAGGAACGACAGCACCTGCAGAATGCATCCACTGCTGAAAAATGAGAGCTGTTTCTTGTTGGTACTCTTCAGGGACATTTTAGCATAGTGGTGGACTCCAGTGTTGACTTTTCTTTTCATCATCTGTTTGATCTTGGTGGATTCTTAAGAATCTCTGGACCTGAGTTTGTTCATCTGTTGATTGGGGTTCATGGTAGCCACTTCTCAAGGTTATGATTGAGGTGAAATGAGATGCTATGTGTGCAAAGGACCTGGTAGCAAGAATGACATGGGAAGGAGGGCTTGCTCAATAAACATTGCCTGTTATAGTGTGCTGGCATTACCTTAAAATCCTTAATAAGCTGTAAGTTTTGGATGAGAGTCAGAAGTGTTGGGTTGGTGAAGCATTTTGCTACAGATTGCAGGCTTTTCTCCGGTGTCACAAGGCATTGAAAACGCTTGTTCGGAGACAGCCCAGAAGGGAAAAAAAAAAAAATTCTGGAAAGCCTGGCATTTTGTGCTATGTTGTGAGTAAGACATTTATAGTTATTGAGCCAAAATTTCCACTGTAATAGAAAAAGCAGTTGCTTTTAAACTTCTGGTCCAATTTAGTAATTATGGGTGAGTTAAAATGTAGGCCATTTGAATTGGATTTGGAGGATCAAGTAAGATTCTGTCCTACAGTGGGGATGACTCATAGAGGAGGTAGCTTGACATAGTGGAAATAGAAGCTGATAAGGAGCCAGGAGACCCAAGTTCCTGTCCTGGATTTGCACAAATAAACTGTAATAGCCTTTAGGCAAATTATTAAACATCTCAGTTTTCTATTATATAAAATGAGAGGGCTGTGTTTGTGAATGGATCTTTCAACATGCTTAAGGTTATACCAAACAGATCACTGAAAATGAAATATGTTATCTACAGTCATTAGGGAATAAAGTATTCTTGCTAGTGCAATATACTTATTTGGAGAGGATTACAACATAAACAAGAACCAACGAGAATACATCAGTGCCAGAATGATACAGACATAAGCAGACACCTGAGGCTCTCTGATACCCGCAGGTCATTGCTATGTCCTAGGAAAACATAGCCATGCTAGTTATAAGAGTTTTCTGATGATGAGTCTTTATAAACAGAGGATTTACTGGGAACTAGAGATGGAATTTTTAAATGATTTCCATGTTATGGATGACCTGTACTTGGGCTTATGATAGCTCTGCCACATCTTGAGAAATAATTTATTGACTAAACTCGAGTTGGCAAATGTAAAAACTCATTTGGGTTAGCTAGCTTGTTTACTTGTTCTTGGCATTCTTTCTTCTTCTTATTTCAGTTGTAGGCATGAAGCCACATTTTGGGCTGATCATCTTTATAATAGGCTTATGGTTTTATAACATCAGATTTTGAATGATAGCATTTTCTGCTCTCTGTGTTTCCTATCACCTGTAGAATTAAGATAGGTCAAATATGGAACAGATGGATTGAATGATTCCCTAGAATTATTCACTGACATTATAAGGGTGCCTCCTGTGGCACAAATAGAAATATTTCTGAGAGTTGTAAAAATTAAATTTTTAAAAATCGAATCCAATTTTTCTATTGACCTGCGTTAGAATTTCTGAGACATTCTATCTTCATTTCTGATTGATTTTCAATTAGCAAAGGTTCCTGCCATTTTAACTTTAAATTTCTTAGTTCCCCTTTTTCCTCCAAGTGGTTAATGATCTGTGAACAAATATTGGAGCAAATCAGAGATGCTTCAGTGTACAGTCACCCTATAGATATTTCTGGTGTGCAAGGGAGTGAGCTACCTGGGAGATGAGGAACCTTGGTTCTAGTGTTTTCTCTGCCACCACAGAGGTATGCATCTTTGAATAAGGTCTTTTTGCCTGTTTCAGGCACCATTCTCTCATTTGTAAATTATGAGCTCCATTGATCCTATCTGGCTTCAATATTCTACCGACAATTGAGTGGGAAAAGGAAACTTTCTCTGAATCATAATCTCTCAACTTTTCTTTTCATAAATTTTCTTAAAGTGGATTATACCTATCTGTAAGTGGATAACAGCCTCCATTTATTATCCTTATTTTTATTTGGCTTTTTTTTTGACTTGCAAATTCCTTTTTGGATGGATTAGATTGAAAATCTTTGGGAGGCTCAATCAGCCCAGACAGATTTATTCATTCTTTATTCTGGATGAAGAAGAGGAAATAGTTTAAGATAGATCTGACATGGAACATTAATTTGATTGAAGCCTTTCTGTGTGAGGAGTAATTGTAGCATCTTCATTGTCATAATGGAGAGATTAGCATGGATTAGATTAGCTTGTGTACAAAGGTTGTACAAATTGATTGCTGTGATTTGTAGGCTGGGCTGATCTTTATAGTCACTGGCATGACTTCTTAAGCATTATAGTCATGATTTCTTTCATGTGGTTTACATGTGGCAACAAGAAAAGCACATTTCCCTCGTTACCAAAACCTTGTGTCTCCCAATGGGAACTTGACATAGACTCAAAAACATAAGACGTGTACATATAATATTAAGGAGATGGCACTGGTCATCTGGCCTGCTGTCTGGGATGACAGCACACATTGGCCAAAGACAGAAGAGTTCCCAAAACAGATGTTCAGAGAAGATGGCTAGAATACTGTTGAAATGTGGTCTAGAATAATTATGAACATAAGCCTAAAAAGGTAGCCAAGATATGGCTCTGAATTATAGCCAGTCATGGGATTATTATTTAACTCCAGTTTAGTATGTTTCCTGCCAAGTATGTGCCAGACCCTCTGAAACAGAATCTGGTTTTTGCCAGCAGTGCTTAGCAACTCTATATTTTAAGTCTAAATTCCAAAAAAAAAAGGAAGAGTAAAGAATACTAAACTGCTTTCTGATGGGAGTAAGTTGTATTTCAAGTGGCCTCAGAAATCTTTTTCTCTAGAGGAGACTTTCTGTGGCTAAGAGGAAGAGAGTGGGCACTTCTCCCCTCCACTGAACCCACCTGGACTTGGTCTCTCTCCCAAGGCTTTCACTGCAATTGAAAGGCTTTTTCACTGCCCTAGGTCTCTCTCCTAAGGCTTTCACTGCAATTGGTACATGTGTTCAGTGACTATTAGAACTTAAATGATCACTCTCATCCCACCTCACTGATCTCATTTTCCAAATTTCTCCCTCTTGCTCTCCCATTCTAGGGAATCTGGCCTTCTTCTTGGTCTTCAGATGCACTGAACATCTTCCTGCTTGAGGATGTTTGCTGCCTTACCTTACTCTGCTGGAAAGCAATTCCTTCCAATGGTGCAGGTCTCACTTCCTTACTTCCTTCAGATTTTCGCTCAGATACCATGTTATTCATGAGGCTTCCCTGGCCACCCCATTTAAAAGCAGCACCCCACCAGCATTGCCTATCACCCCCACCCTGCTCTGTATTACCTGATAACACTAATGACCGTCTGGCAGATTATATCTTTATTTGCATATTTATTATCTGTATTCTGTCTTTAGAATGAAGACAGAGGCTTTATTCCAGTGACTGAAACAATGCCTGACATGTAATGGAACTCAATAAATAATTGTTGAAATAATGAATGAATAAATGATTAGCCTTTAATTTGTATTCATTCGTACACATTACATTGGGGTTTTCTAGAAGACAGTATGAAAATTTCACTTAATTTGTGACTCAAGTACAGAAAGAACGATAGAGATCAGAGGTTCTTAAACAACTATCCATGAACCCAACGCTGTGCTTTACAAAATTTAACGTGCATGTGAATCGACAGAGGATCTCGTTAAAATGTGAACTGTGATTTAGTAGTCTAAATTGGGGTCTCGGGTTCTGTGTGTCCGACAGGCTCACATACGATGCGGATGTTGCTGGTTCTAAGATTGCACTTTGAGGAGAAAGACTCTAAAGTACCTGTGGAAGGGATTCAAGGGGTTCACAAAGCCAGGGTTATGAATGTCCAGTATCATTGTTATAGCAAAGAACTGAAGTGCTAGTTTCTAGAAATTTCTGGTTTATGCAATACCAATGAACAGATCATTTATTGGACATTCATTGCAGAGCTTTCAACTGTTAACTATGCATGGTTGTTCTGTATGCAGACATAAATATAGGTATAGGAGAATTTCTTTTTCTGAGGAAATAATAGAAAATATTCATCAGTTTGTCAAAAGGATCAGTCCAAACAATGGTGACAGCCATTGTTAATGGATGATGGCATTAAACAAAAGAAACTTTAGGTATCAAACCAAAACACATCATAACCACATCGTAAAAGTAGTGACAAAACCAACACATATGTTTGCAAATACCTTGGGAAGATTGTGTTTTATAGCAATAGTTTTTTTGCTAAACAAACAACTAACTTTTAAAGTTAACATTTGCTGGAGATGATATTTTCCCAGGGAAGTATTTAAATGCTTGGAACACACCTATCCAAAGACAAATATTTGTTTTCCCCCAGCCACTGGAAAGAGACCCCAACTGGAAACATTGTCTAGAAATGAATATTTGGAAACTCTGAGGCCCTCTATAAATGCCATTGCAGTAGCTCACTGTCCTTCTAAGCTGAGGCCAAAATGCCCTCAAAGGGGCCTTGGTGTAGAAAAGCTGTTTTCAGGCAAAAAAAAAAAAAAACAAAAAACACAACAGCCCATCAAGAGCTGCATAGCTTTTCAGTCAGGAAACTTACCCCCAGGTGGATGTTTCTCAGCCAAGGAGTGTGGGCAATTTAGTTTCAAAAGTAATTTGGAACAACTGAGATGTTTTATATTAAATGGTCCTACTAAATAGACATCTAGCACAGGGCTTAGCCAAATTCTAGAAGGCCTCGCATGGTATGGTATCACGATCCTCATAATTGCTAAAAATATTACTCATAATCATAATGGCTAACAATTATTGAGTCTAAATATATGCTAGGCAAGGTGCTACTAACCTTCCATACATTTTCTTATACAATATTTATAAAACTAATTCGGATGGTACTATAAGTTTTTTTGTTTTGCAGAAAAGGAAACTAATGCATGGATATGTGATTTATATTGCTCAAGGTGACAAAATTGTTGAGTTGTAGAATTGGGACTCAAATTCAGATATGCTGATTCCGGGGCTCATCCTGCTAATGACTGTGCTGTACTCATAATCATAACAAATTGATTTTTGGTGACCTTGAAACCCTGCTTAGGAAACTAAATTTTAAGATTTTGGTTGAATTTACCCTCAGGGTGGAGAAAACACAGGTTTTCATAAACTTACTGTCATCAAATTAACTATCCTATATTATTTTTCAGAATAAACACTCACTACTTGTTAAGGAAATCATGGTGAAACTTATTCATATGAGCTAAGAGCTTCTGCATTCCCATTTCATGGAAACGTGGATTTTCCACGTGTGGCTCTGTAGCATGGCAAAATAGCTTGGTGTGCAAAAATACCCTAGGGTAAAGATAAATGTAATTGTTTTTGAAATCAACCACTTGTCCCTAATGCTCAATCTGTGCTTCTGAGAATTTGCCGAGTTTCAATGCTTTAATGTGTGTATTGAACAGGGCTTTCTGTTGCAAATAGCAGAATTTGCACACGCTAGTTGAATCAGAAAACAATAACGTAACAACAGATACTAATAAACACGTAGAATCTCGGAGAGTGCCAAAGAGCAGGGTTCTGGGGCTACACAGCCACACCTTAGGACTTCTCTCTAATCATATGACTTCTCAGCACCTGTGATGCCAGGACTTGGCCTCCCAAAGCTGAGGAACCAAATGCCTCACCAACTGCTCCTGCCAGAAAACTGGTTCTCCCTGGTTTGGTGCCCATACTCTTTGAATTTTCTGGCTTTAAAAATTGGACTCATGGTGTGAGAAAATTCCAAAATGTAGGAAGATCTTCAAAGATGTTGAGCAGTCACCACGAGGAAGCTTCCAATGTTGTGTATTTCAGATCAGTGTTGTGGAGTATCTTTCCCTTTATCACACTTTTCCTTCATTTTTACTCCCTTTGATTGCTAAATCTTTACAGAGAGCAGGGACTCTGTTCATTCAGTCCCCAGAATGGCAATGTGTTAAGTCCACAAGAAGGCTTTTCGTGGACTTTTGGAGTCTGATCATAAAGGAGAAATATGTCTTAAAAAGGCAGTGGAGGTGATGTGGTGAATTTTGTGCTTAGCATTTTTAACTTGAGAAAAATGATAAGACAGGCCAGTCAACACACAATGGGCAAATGGAGATAGGTGACTGTAATTCAGAAGTGCACACAGGACTCCAGGTTTGAGTATGGGAGTTGTCCTTCAAGGATTGGCAGTTGAAGCATTCACCAGAGCATGGATGTGTTTTCTGAGCAAGAGCTGTCAATAATTAGGATAGAAAACTGAACGTGGAACCCTGAAGACCTCTCACCCTGTGCCAAAGTCCAGGTGCAGAAAAGAAAGGTGAGCTTGTGATAAAGAGCAGGCAGAGTTCAGAAGACAGCCATATTATTTTGGTGTCATAGGGGTTAAAGGAGGCAATTCATGAGAATTGATTGCTTTTTTCTCACTCTTTATTGAGATATAGCTTCTCAAATGTAAAGCATGATTTGAAAGAGATCAGTAACAACAGTTATGCATTACATTTGAGGTGTGTTTTGTACTTTTCAAATTTGTTTTCAAATCCCCATCACTTCATTTAACTTCATTCAGACACTTAAATTGAAAATTACTTTCTATGTGTGGTTAAAAAAATCTTGCATTATTTTTGTTTTTTTCTTTAATCTAACTTAAACATGGAAGAAAATTCAGTTGTGTGTAGTTAATCACAGGTTTGAAGAAATTACCTTAATTCTATTTTGAGAAAGAAAGAGTATCATGTGGTATACAGAGTGAAGGCTTGGATACCTCCGTTGCACAAGTTTCCTGCTTAGCTGGGACCTGGTCAGGCCACTTCACCTCCCATTTAAAACATCCTTTAGAACTAGGTATGGAGCTAATGTTTTAGATATGAAAAATAATTATTCACAGCGTGTTACTATAAAACATATGTTCATAGATTCTTACATTTGTATACAAAACAAGAAATCACAAAGCTTTATTCATGCAGAAAAAATTAATTTGAAAAAGCCCACTGTATGCCAAGAAATATTCTTGATGCTTGGAGGTTTGGGGTTGAGGTAGCAATGGGGAGATAAAATGAATATGGCTTGCTTCTTGCTTTCTGCAAAGAATTGAGTTTCGATTCTGACTTAAGAGACATAAACAAGGAAAAGTACATTCTCCATGCTGCATATGTGTGGCTTAGGCCCTGGCTTGATGAAGGGAGATTTGGTATTTTGTTAATGTAGGAAAAACTAAACCAAAGTGTCTTTTCTATTCTCTCATTTAACAGTAGTCAACACAGAAGACTTCTGTGACCTCTAGTCACCAAGAAGTGTGTGGGGATTTCTCACTACCAACAAATAAACCATCAGTTCTGCAGCTGACACTAGCTGGGTGTCCTCTAATTCAATGCTACTCTGACACTGTCTACCTGGAGATACAGTCAGATCCCTCAGCTTGAGAGCTCAGTCCCTAAGACTGTTTCCTCCCCTCACTGCAGATGCCAGTCACAAGCTCCAGTTTGTTGCGTCTGTGCTTCCAGCCAGCTGGCTATAAATTGGGGTTCCCTCAACTTCCCCCTTGGGTTTGATTAAGTTGGTAGAGTGATTCACATAACTCAGGAAAACACTTACTTACATTTACCATTTACCAGTTTATTATACAGAATATTGTAAAGAATACAGATGAAGAAATGTGTAAGGTAAGGCATGGGTGGTGGGGGACAGAGCTTCTATGCCCTTCCTGGGTGGGCCGTCCTCCAGGAAACTCTGTATATTCTGTTACCCAGAAGCTCTCTGAACCCAATCCTTTTGGGTTTTTACAGAGGCTTCATTATATAGGTGTGATTGATTAAACCATCGGACCCTGGTAATCAACTTAACTTTCAGCCTCTCTCCATCCCCAGAGGTTGTGGGGTGAGGTTGAAAGTTCCAAACCTCTAATCATGATTTGGTCTATCCAGTGACCAGCCCCCATCCTGAAGCTACCCAAGACTGGCAGCCAGCAGTCAACTCATTGGCATACAAAATACATAGTTTGGAGGCTCCACTGATTTTCAGTGTGGTACCCCAGGAAAGTGGATGAAGACCAAACATGTATTTCATGAAGCCTTCTATTTCAGTAGTAAGAAAAATACTAAATTATAATACGAATTTTTTTATACCAGCAAAGCAGTTGCATTTGCATCTTTAAAATGCAAGTGCAACTTCTTTTTAGAGATCTATTGCATTTTAAAGATGCATTTCATCACTTATTACAGCCAAATGACTTGCCCAGGCATTAGATTTTCTGTTGCAGTGATAGCAGGGATTTAAATAATGATTATCTTCTCTTTGACCTGGTGAATTTCTTATTACCCTGCATATAGACATGGTTGGATTGTACTGACTTTGCAAATACCACACAACTGAAGTTGGATTTCTGTTGTCCTTCAATCAACCATCTACCTAAGCCTCAAACCGTTTTGTTTTGCTTAAAAACAGAATGAGTTTGGCAAACCTAGAAAAGTACACAAAGGATCATCCATGGATATAGGATGGAAGATGTATGAATATGGACCAACAACAGTGTTTATTTTAATAATTCTAATATTGTTATAAGTTGTCATAAGCTTATTTTCGTAATTAGAGAATAGTCTTCAATTTACACTGAATGCATGTTTGGCAAATATACTAATGTTATATATGTACTTCTCTTGTTCAGGGCAGTCACTTGTTTTAAGTAACATGTTTATCTTTATTAAAATATGAATTTCATGCGGTTTTACAGCAAGGTTATTGGTTAAATCAATATTCTCAATTAATGAAACTAGTGACATCATCATCAAGAGCAATAGCTAGCATTTGTTGAATCCTGACTATGTGTCAGGCATTATTTTAATCACTTCATATATTTTAACTCATTTAATCTTCACAATGGCTCTACTATATAGAAACATGTATTAACCCAATTTTGCCAGAGGGTTGAGACACAGAGATTTTAGGGAACTTAGGCAAAGTTACATAGCTAGAAATTACAGTCAGTGATTGCAAAGCTTGTGCTCTTAACTTCTATTTTATCTTGTATCTGTAAAGATATTTACTAACCAAGTTAAGTGTCCTTAGAGCATATTTTTATAGTATAAAAATTGGGAAAAAATTAAGATAAAGAAAAAAACCCATAATCCTACTGCTGAATGAGAGCTCTGTTAACATTTTGAGGTACACATATTTAGGCTTTTTCCCTCCTTTACATACATTCACATAATTTGTATTATAAATGCTCTTTTAAATTAATTTTATTCAATTAATATATTTTAAAACTTTCCCCATGGTATTATTTCATTATTATTTTAAATGGCTACATTAAGATATGGATATTTAGGCTTGAAATAAGTTTAAACAAACCTATTGTCTTCTTAAATCTCCAGTCATATTTCCATGAAGGATGGCAGCTCTTAGAAGTCATGGAAGCAAAGAACAGTACCCCTCAGGACCATTGTAAGAAAATGTCTTCTTTGAGAGTTCTTAAGACTATTAGCACATCTGAGGACATTTTCCTAAGGATTCATCTTGGTGTAAGGACACACTGGGGATATTTTAATTTGTAGTGATTTGTTGTTGTTGAGCAATAAACAGTATATACCTCTTGAATTTGCTAAGGAATGTGTGAGCATACAGTGCTGGTAACACTACATTAGTTAACTCTCTTTACCTTTCAAAACTGATTTAATGAAGGTATTTTAATGCCGTTTCATAGATAAGAAAATGAAGTGCAAAGTAGTTAACTTGACTAACAACAAGTAAGTGAAGGAGACATAATTTAAGCTTTAGCACAGACAATCTGTCTCTTATAGTGAGGCAGTATAACAATAAATATGTGGAGGAGATTTCTAAAATTTCCAGTGTATGTTAAGAAAACAATGTATTTTATGATGTTTTAGAGAACTGCCCATTATAACCAACTGATAATGAAATTCTTCATCTTTCCATGCTATCATATTTTTCCCTTGTCAGCACACTGACCTAGGAATCAAGAAATTTTGGTTCTAATACTCGCATTTCCACCTTTCTGGGTCTCAAGTTTTTATCTTTAACATAAAAGGTTAGAAAACTTGAAAATCTTAAAGTCTCTTCTTGGTTCAGAGAGATTAGCTTTATGGAGTTGTAGAGCCTGTGTAGAAGCTTTATAAAGTGGTTTAGAGTCAATTGACCTCATTGGAGAAAAAAAGTAGTCAGTAAGTTCTTCACCTCTGCAAAGTGCAGACTGAATGTGGAGAACAGAATTGTTGTTTTCTTAGCTGTGGCTGTAGCAGGCTGTTACTGATTACCCTCATAAGATGTTTTGAATTTGTCTTGGAGGAGGTGGCTTTCAGCCTGACTTTCAGGCTGGCTTTGGGTCATCCTGAGTAAGAACAAGACTGGTAGTATATGCTGCCAAATGTAAAATTATATAACTGCCCAGGAGAGCTGTCACACGTGGAGGATACTAGAGGCTGCCATGACAATATTAGCCAAAAAATGATAAACCACAACGTGATAGAAGGAAGAATCCTCACTTTATAGTTGAGCCCCGAGTAAGTGAGGAAAGTTGTGCAAGTTTGTAACTTCAGTGTGATGGTTGAGGATGGAATTAAAGTCTCCTGACTGCTTATGAAACCTCCCACCTATATGTTTTTACGCAAAATGTCATGGCCCTTACATCCTTTTGTTTCCATTGCTATGATGGTTCTGGATTGTAATCCTATAAGAATATGATCACTTAATGAATTTATGTTCATTATATTTCATATGCAGCCTGAAATGCCTCTGGTTTCTTTATTAGCAAATCAACAGAAAACACTTGATAACCAGATTCAAGATTAGACAGCAAAGATCTACAGAAACAGATTAATATCATTTTATGGCATACTATGATCTTTTTTTAGGGAATTAACTAATTACTGCTCAAGGAAGCATATCCAATAATATGCGGGTAAAAGGATATAAGCAAAAAGGTAGCAGTAAATAGCTGTGTTTTGGATTCCACAAGGCTTGTGTTAGGTGAGGTCTTATTCAGCATAGTTATGATGTGGTAAAGAGAGTACATTGCCCACTAATACACATTTCAGGCATTATAAATTGGGAAACTTGCAAATGCAAATAAGAAAGGATGGGTAAAATCAATATGCTTAGTGAAGAAGGGATCTTAAGAAATTTTTTTAGAAAGGATATGGGACCCTAAAACTATTGAAGTAACAAGAAATTAGGACAAGAAACTAATATGGGACCCTAAAACTATTGAAGTAACAAGAAATTAGGACAAGAAACTAACAGTGATAGAGGAAGGGTACTGGCTTGTTAGATTTGGGCTCACCGTTTGGCAATCCATCTCTAAACCCTATCACAACTTATTTATAATAATAATCTTGGTGCTGATCATCATAATCTGGGTATGCAGATTTACCTACATAATTTTAGGCAAATTGGTTAACCCCTCTGGACATTTAATTCCTCATCTGTGAAGGAGTTACACAAGAATACATTTATTGGTTTAAATAACTACTGTTCAATAGAGAATTTTTAAATTAGCATCTGTAGCTCTGTTAGGAGGGAAAAATGATGATGTTTTATGATTTCAACACATGACTTCATTTCTTTGAGCTATGTGACAGTCATGCTTTCCTCCATTATTCATCAATACTCCCCACTGCTTAAAGTTGCAAATATCTAGGGCTGGGCTACACAAAGGGAACTGAGAGATAGCCCACCCTTCCGTGCAAATTTTATTGATAAGAGTGATGTGGTCCAGAGACATGAGACACCTTGTCCAGGGGTGGTTAATGGTGGAGCCTGAAGGATGAGCAGGTCATGATTCTCAGCACAGAACTCTTTTTCTCTTGTAGAAAAGATAGCAAATAGGCTGGATGAGGTGGCTCACACCTGTAATCCCAGCACTTTGGGAGGCTGAGGTGGGCGGATCACTTGAGGTCAGGAGTTGAGACCAGCCTGGCCAACATGGTGAAACCCTGTCCCTACTATAATAGAAAAATTAGCCAGGCATGGTGGCATGTGCCTGTAGTCCCAGCTACCGGGAAGGCTGAGGCGCAAGAATCCATTGAGCCTGGGAGGTGGAGGTTGCAGTGAGCTGAGATCACATCACTGCACTCCAGCTGGGTGGGAGAGTGAAACTGTGCCAAAAAAAAAAAAAAAGAAAGAAAAAAAGAAGAGATAGTGAGATAGTAAATAGGTTTTCCTCCTCATGCCAACTCAGATCAGTTGATAGTACCTGCCAGTTGAGAAAATTTGTAAGGACGTAGTACCTAGGTACTACATAAAACACTATTGCTATTAATAAATAATTATCACTATCAGTAATTATTCATTAGTACTGTCTGCTATATTAACACCATAGGGAAATAGAAAATGTTTGCCACCTCCTATCAAGAATATTCTTTAAACATATTCCTTCAAGATAAACGTTCAATATTTATTCTGCCTTTCTTGTATCTCTGTCACTCACAATATTACCTAATGCTATCTAATGTATTCTGTTCTTAGAGAAGTAAAATGTCTCAGTAGACCAAACTTAGATTTGATCATTACGAAAGATGTCATTCTCAGTGGCTGGATCTTCATGAGGTTTTCTTGAGCTGTTTTTCATTTCACCTGCTGCTGGATGTTTTAGGCTGCTGTATTCACATCTGGTGGCCTGTCTCACTAGGATCTCATGGCTGCCCGGGCAGTGTCACAGCTCTGAGTTCAGGTTGGCTCTAGTCTTGCCCTTCGCTACAGAATCGTGGAATACAGTGGGAGATGAAGAAGGCAGCACTCTTGCCCTTTGTGTTTCTAGTAACTTAAATTCAACTCCTGGCAGCCTACTTCACATTCTGATTTGGGCTTCTGATGTTGAGTGCTGAGGGAAGCTTTCTCCCACTGCTTACATGTTCTAGCTCCTTGGTTGGCTCCAAGGAGTTGTGATGGAATTTCTTGGCATACTTCAAGCCAGCAGCAGCCAGGTTGGCCTTTTCCCTCCACATCTTATAGCTTTGTAGGATTTTGGGAGAAAACTGACCTGGAACTAGTTACATGACCTTTTTCATTTATTTGGGTCTTAGTGCTCATCCTTGTCACCTCTTATTATTTAGAATGAAAAGCACATTACTCTTTAAGGAACTAGAGTATAAATTCAGAAACCTAGAACACATATATTAATACACAGAACTTTTTCTCTTTTCCTAGCTGTTCAAATGTAATACAGTTTTATGTTCAAACTAAATGAATGCCTATTTATTCCTGGAAGTAAATTTTGTTATTTTCTAGTCCAGGCTCTTTGTTTTACACATGACAAAATAGAAGCCCAGTACACAGGAGGGTTGAATGACTTGTTTAATGGCACATGGCCAAAGAAACAGAACAGAAAAAAAGAAATCAGAATTTGTCAGTTTTCTGTCTAGTGCATTCCAAATCACATGACACAACCATTATTGGTTTTAGAATTGGAAAAGTTTGGTTTATTTTTTAACTGACTACTCAGATTTTAAAAAAATTGTTTCATTAATAGATTAGTAAAAATTTAATACTGCTGTTCATTGTAGGGCTTAGTAAGCCATTACTATGATAGATCTTTATTTTTGTTTTCTTTAAGTCTGTACTGGACATTGAAGTCTCTCTATGGTCTCTGGACTTACGTCTTGGCCTTACAGACTGTCCTGTTTCACCTTTGCCTCAGTCTTTGCAGTAATCTCCCTCACTGAGAAGTCTGGAACATGCCACATGTTCACAGTGAGGCTGTTAAAACTTCCAGCCCCATCCAAAACCTAGACTTGGAAACCATTGTCGCATTGCTTTCTGAGTCCACAGATAGCAAATGTGACAAGTCAAAAATGATGCCTAATGTTGAGCAAGGAGTCTTTAAAAAGCCCTACTCATGTTTCTAATTCTCACACCCATGTAATTCACAGGCATCTGTCCACAGGTAGTTTGAGAACCTAACTATATTAAATTTCAATATTCAGCAAATAGCTCATAACCAATCATATCTGAATTAGAAAAGCATGTGTAAAGAACAATAGCACCAACTAGCACTCATAGCAGATTATTCCAGCTATGTTATAATAAGGCCCTTGGCAATAACTCAAGGTCTGTTTTTTCAAAATGTAAGGATTAGGTGTTCTTGAGGCAGGAAAGAAAAACAAGACTATTCTTTGCAGATGGAGAAAAAAATGAAGTAGATTCACTAGCAGAGTCACTTTCATGGAAATTTGGAGCTCTGCTGCACAGTTTTAGTGTTTAAACAGGATTGGAAGTCCTTTGGGATGACATTTTCAATGCTGAAAGAGAAACACCTGATAGAATTGAGTCTCAATGAAACAGAAAACCTGCTGAATTGAAAAGGGGCTTCACTCAGTGACTAATTTTCTAAAGTGAGTACCCCAAACTGTTAATAACTATTTTAAAGCAGTTGGATGACTACATTCAAGATAAAAAATTATATGGGAATAAAAATTGTCAATATATCTGATTTTGGTAAAACTAAGCACACAATTTAAATTTATCTTGGAAAACCTTAGTAGTTATTGGAATTACTTGAGAATCTATTGCAAGCAATCTAAATGAATTCTTCCAAAACATGTCACTGGAGCAGGTACTCAAGAAGTAATCTGAAGTAAACAAACAAAAACAAAGCTATATTTATCCTTCCTCTTTTCTGTGTAATATAATCCATGGGAAGACAAGAAGAAATTTATTTTCTACTTGTGAGATTTGGGGATGATGATGCTTTTTCTATCCTTATCACCATTTGTCAAGATACAACTTTCATTACTTTCCAGTACCACCTTTGAACAGCATCTTCTTTTTTAGTATATTCTCCCTTCCTCCTTCCATCTCTCCATTCTTTCTTCCCTCCTCTTTTCTTCCCATATTTCCTTCCTTCCTTCTTTCTTTCATTTTCTCTCTCTTTGGAATCTCTTCTCTTAACTTTATGTTTTCCCCAAGTGATCAGCTGTTTTTATACTTCTCTGCTGGTTCCTCCTAACAGAGTCTTTGCAGATTTTAAAGTAAAACCATAAAGAAGAAAACATAAATAGAATCTTCAGTGATTTCACAGCAGAAAGGCATGGTTTGTATTACTTTCTCTCAGAGGTATTTTTAATGGGGTAAATATTTATTTCCAGATGACCCAAATCTCTTTGTTATGTTTGCTGACAGAAACAGCAGCTCCTCCTTCTTTCTCTCTACAGTAATGAGATTATGGACAGGGATAGACCTTCTTCATACTGCTCTGACAACAGACATTTTATAAACCAGGGACGGGCTATTTCAATTCAGTTTAATTCAAAAAAATAATTATTGGATACTTACCACATCTAGGATATTGTTAGCTGTTATAAATGATACAAAGATAATTAAAACATTGTTCTTCCTCTCAAGGAATTTGTAATCTAGTATGAGGGAAACTGTGTAAATAAATATCCAATCCTGGATGACTGCCACAACATAAAAACACACAAATGTTTAGGAACTCGGTAGACAAGCAAAGGAAGTAGAATAGTAAAGATGAATGTCTCCTATTTGTCAATATTTTACTTCACCTCTGTGTTGTTTTGGGATATATCAAATAATGTCTTTTAAATTTAGAGTTATTGTTACTTTATAATAATTATTATTATTGTCATAGGTAGTGTTAGGTTGTGTCATTTATGTAAATACTTATGGAGTAGTAACATGATATAGTAGTCTACCTCAGAAAGAGATTTATTGAGTCTATGATGCTGAATTATAGTTTTGTAATATGTTTCTAAATTCTTTATGATGGAGTCCCACTCTATCACCCAGGCTGGAGTGCAGCAGCACAATCTCAGCTCCCTGCAACCTCTGCCTCCTGGATTCAAGCGATTCTCCTCCCTCAGCCTCTCAAGTAGCTGAGATTACAGTCATGCGACACCACAGGCAGCTAATTTTTGTATTTTTAGTAGAGGTGGAGTTTCACCATGTTGGCCAGGCTGGTCTCAAATTCCTGACCTCAAGTGATACGCCTGCCTTAGCCTCCCAAAGTGCTGGGATTACAGGTATGAGCCACGGTGCCCAGCCTGTAATATATTTCATTCCAACTTTTAGATAGCTTCTTTATCAGGTGCTGCAATAAATTGTTTGCCCTAGATCGAGGTGGGGAGAGAGCCCTCTTAGGATGAGCTGTCACACAGTAAAAGATAAGATTTCCTGGATCAGTTTTCTAAAGTGACAGGCGTGTCCCCTAATCGAGACAGACAGTGCTCCATTTTGACAAATAGGCCAGACTTCTACGTGTGCATATTTGTTTTGTGTGTGTCAGAGTGAGGGTGAGGTTGAGGAGTCATTCTGTTCTTATTGGAAGTGAATCAGGCATAAAAGTGATAGAGCGCTTGAATGAGATGATTGCAGTTGAAAGACACAGCAATTAAGCAGATTTCAGACTTTAGAGAGCATGTCTTCCGGGAGCTATCCACGGTACTGAACTGCTTCTCCCTATATTGTCCTGTAACCCCGCAAAACAAACCTTCAAACATTTTAAAACCACAAGACATTTTAAAAACTGGCTTTGGTTATTCCTTACTAGACAAATTCTCTAACCTGTGTATTTCTAATACTTGTTATTTGTTTAATCTTGGCTAGGTCAGCCCATTTTTTTTTGTTTGATATTACACATTCATCCATTTATTTATTCAACAAATATGTAGGTACAATCTTCCGTATGTTGGGCAGCCTCCTAGTGGTTAAGGTGCTTAGGTTTCTTATTATGTAATGCTAATTATTATTACTTTTGATTTTTCTGGGATTTACTCTAAGGAAGCAGATTTAATGATTAAAATAATTCTACTTCGTGTGTGTTGTTTGAAGAACTTGGTTTCTGGCCCAAAGATGATGCTTTGTTTACAGTACCTAGAACAGCCCTTTGGCGTATCGTAGACACTCAAGAAATTGTATTCACAGCATAAACATGTTTATTGTTGTGGAGTGATTTTCTATGAAATGTTACAAGGAAAATATATATTTTAAACCAACAAGTAATCTTTGCAAAAAAAATTTTGAATAAGAAAAATATTGTTCTAAGTAATCTAGATGGAGCATACACCTAGCCTTAAAGAGTCTAGAATTGACATGTTGGGACATTCTCATATGTTAAGACCACATTACAGGTTGACCAGAAAACTAGGAAGAAATAGACCAGATACTTCCTGCTCAGGCTTTTATGTGCATATAGAAGCTCAGTGATCTTTTTATTCTGTTTTACTCAGGCTATTCTGTATTCAGGTAGGATATCTATCACCCTTACTCTTCTCTAACCCCATCTTAAAAAACAAAGCGGCGGGGAGTTTTTCTTTTGATATCAGCAACAGATAACCAAATAAGATGGCGTATAATCTTTTTTTTTTTTTTTTTTTTTTTTTTTTTTTTTTTTGAGATGGAGTCTCGCTCTGTCACCGAGGCTGGAGTGTGGTGGCACTATCTCAGCTCACTGCAAGCTCCGCCTCCTGGGTCCACACCATTCTCCCGCCTTAGCCTCCCAAGTAGCTGGGACGACAGGCTCCCGCCACCACACCAGGCTAATTTTGTTTCTGTATTTTTAGTAGAGATGGGGGTTTCACCGTGTTAGCCAGGATGGTCTTGATCTCCTGACCCTGTGATCTGCCTGCCTCAGCCTCCCAAAGTACTGGGATTACAGGCGTGAGCCACTGCGCCCGGCCAGAAGGTGGAGTGCTATTCTTAACTGTCCTTTTGTAGTTCTTTGTTCTAAGAATTTGGAAAGACAAGTTAGTCCTGACTTCCATGGAAATGTTTTTTTTCCAACCAACATGGGTGTAATTCTGAAGGAGAATTCTTTCTTACCAGTGACTCAGTCCCTCTGCAGGGCACAGAATCAACAGTATTCCTAGTGTTTGCAAGATCAGTGATTATATAGGGTCAGTATAGGCAAACTCTCCATTTCCAATCCGTTGTTAATGAAATGTTATTTTTGGTGAAGTTCTGAGATAGACTGAATCTGAGCAGAATAAAAAAAAGTGGAATCAGCCTGAGTTCTAGCTTCTACCCCTATTTCTGTGATATGCTTCCTTATTGACATGTGGGCTTTGAAACTTGGTAACATCCAAATTGTATTATCACTCTCTTGAAAATGTCATTGTTCCATGAAATTGTGAGACTTAACCATTTTTATTGATATCTCAGAGAAACCAAATCTTGAGAACTAAGAGCATTGGAGGATAAGCTCCTTTCCTAGAGATACTTACTCTACTTTTGGTCATGGACCAAATTTGGAGTTATTCCTGTGGATTTTTTTCTCTTGTTCCTTAAGGCAGTGATAGATGCTTGTTTAGTCACCATAAGTTGTGAGAATATGTGGTCTCAATAAAGACCCAGCAATACCTTGTTTTTCTACTCATTATCCAGCCCCAAAGTTTAAGATCTAAATGTTTCCTGGTGAGAATACAAAGAAAAGTGAGCTCTTATAGCCTGTTGATGGGAATGTAAATTAGTGCAGCCATTATGGAAAATAGTAGAGAGGCTTCTCAAAAGGCTAAAAATAGAACTACCATATGATCCAACAATTGCACTATTGGGTATTTATCCAAAGGAAACAAATTCAGGATATTGAAGAGATGTCTCCTATTTATTACAGCACTATTATTTATTTATTTATTGCAGCACTGTATATTTATTTATTGCAGCACTATTTATTTATTGTTAACACTATTTATGGCAGCACTATTCACAATAGCCAAGATATAGAATCCACCTAGGTGTGCAAGCATGAATGAATAAAGAAAATGTATGTATACAGAATGGCTTACTATTCAGCCACCAAAAGGAATGAAATTCTGTCATTCACAGCAATATGGATGAGTCTGGAGGGTATCATGTTAAGTGAAATAAGTAGGGCATAGAAGGATAAATACTGCATGTCCTTACTTATATGTGAGAGCTAACAAAAGTTGAGCTCATAGTAGTAGAGAGTAGAATTGTGGTTATTAGAGGCTGTGAGGGGGAGGGGGAAGAAAGGAGAGGGAACGGTTGGTTAAGGAAAGGAGAGGAGAGGTTAAGAGGTTGGTGCAGGGTTATAGCTGGGCAAGAAGAATACTTTCTAGTGTTATGTGGCACTGTAGGGTTAAATACAGCTGGAGATGATTTATTTATATTTTCAAAGATCTGGGGGAGAAGGTTTTCAATATTCGCAACACAGAGAAATGATGAATGTTTGAGGTGATAGATACGGTGATTACCCTGATTTGATCATTATGCATTACATACATGTATTGAAATATCACTCTGTATACTATAAGTATGAATAATTATCATGTGTCAACTAAAAATAAGAGGGAAAAGTTTCAAAACAATATCTATTTGTTGATTCCATCTGTATGGCTTAGTGATAATGTAATCTTTTGCTGTCTTGCATTGTTCCCATACTGGATTTCATGACTAATATCTTTGCCTTTGACTGATTTGAATAAAAATATGTTAAATGAACAGAGAATCTTGACCTCCTTTCAGAGGCTGAAGGATTCCTTAATTTCTTTCCTCCATTTGCTTAGGAATCAGTGCCATTGACTGTTTGCTTTTAGTTAATACGGTTTTGTTTGCTTAATACAGAATATGTGCAATTTAAGTGTCATATGTACATAATAAGATGTAATCTTTTAATTATATGATATAGCATAATTATTTCCATTTTATATATGACAAAGTTAATGTTTAAGAAAGTTAAATAACTCTAATTAGGAGTCAGGATTGAGAATCCAGACACAGATGGCTCTGACATCAGAATCACTGCTTTAAACCACTCTTCTTTTCTGCTTGCTTTAATATTCCTTTACTTCCTCCATAAAGTGCCACATCAGAATATAGAACAGGTTATTAATGGAAGAAATATTTCAATATTTTGAGTTTTTTGGGTGAATGAAAATTATAGAATTAAAAGCTGAACATCATTTTATTTGGCAGTTTCATCATTATGATTTAAAATAAATGCAGTTTTTGAAGTTTCCTAATTTATTCTCTTGAAATATATTTGGATTGCCACATGCTGTATATTCTAACACTTGGCCCTGGTAGGGTTTATTTGTATATGTGTGGGTGTACTTTAAATATAAAGATCTCACTGATTTTAACACACATTGGAAATATGCATAGGCAAACCCCAAACAACTTTTTATTCAATAGTGTCCATGTATCTCTAAACTTTTGATAGAAATTTGTTCCAATAATGGGGTTACTACATAAGTTGAAGAAAGTCAAACTGAAGCAAAATTTGAAGGCTTCTATATTAATGATCAGTTTTAGGCGATACTTGCCAAAATCTAGTTCAGGATTAGAATAGGCTGTGTTGACATTTTAAGTGAGACATATCAGTTACTCTTTTTCAGAAAGTTAAAATAAATTCTCATAATGAAAAAATAAATGATAATTTTAGATTCTTTTAGAGAATTTACTACCTTTACAAATTAGGAAAATAATATTCACAGTATCCATGATTCCAACCAGTTAACATGTTGGTATATTTCTTTCAGTTATACACATACACATAATTAACATATAATTATATGAATTTATATATAATTTTGCATTCTAACTTTCTATTTGACATAATAACAGTCTTATTTTGCACTTTTATGATTTTCCAATGAGATATATCTATTAGCCATTTCTATTTTTTGAGTTGCCTGTTTTTTTGTGTATGCATAGATATATGTACGCCTGTATATATACACGTATGCATACATATATATGTTTTTTGTTTTATAAAAAGAGATACCATATTTCTATTAATACCGTCACAGCTCTGATCCTTCTTTCTATTGTAGAGCTTCTATGCATGTATTAAAATTTAATTTAGAACCAATCAAGGAAGAGGTCAATCTGAATAAGATAATATTTGTAAAGTTCTTGCCTGTATTATGTATAGCAACTAGAGCTACTTTATCCACAGCGATTTGAAGCCATGTTGAACCTATACAGGTTAATTGATGCAATTCTCTTGGAAACATCGTCATCTGTTGGCCTATAATGTTTTAAAAACCTTGGAACAGTCTCATTGTTTTAAGTATATCTCCTAGTTTTTTCCTTTAATTTGTTTGATGATATTTTTATTTTCTTAAGATCATCTTCAGCTGAATCCTGACAACCCTACTACATGATCATAACAAAAAAAGCAATGAGGAGTCTCTATACCCTTTATTTTCATAGGAAAATATTCTAATATCCACAAATGTGATTAAAGGATAGAGCAGGTGGTGGGGCGAGGTAACATCTGATGTGAGAACGAAGAAGCAAACAGTTGTTATTTTTACTCTGGTCAGGTGAAAACAAGCAGTCATTACATGTCTAAATCTTGGGTATCTTTGGAATCATTTTCAGCCACCGTAGTAAGTTGTACGTGCTTGAGTGTTTTTAAAGCATGTCTTATAGTGACCAAATGTTTCTACCGCATTTATCTCAGTAAAGTTGACAGGATTCTATTAGGACGATCTTCACCTAATGAGATAAATATTCTAATTGTAATCATCCTCTTGGAATGCATATCTCTTCTGGGAATTAAAAGTGCTTTAAGTGGTGTTGCTAAACAAACATTTCTAAAGAGTAATCATAAAGTTAAATGCCTCACAATAGCACAATAGGCTTTTTAGTTGACCTGGTTTTTAATACTTTTTTCATTGCAAAATTTCTTATTCTGGAAAGTTTGGAAAAATGAGGAAAAAAATAGAAAGAAAAATGTCGAATTTAAACATTTTGTCACTACCTAGTTAAAATCGGGGATAACATTGTGATTTAGATTTCTCCAGTCTCCTTTCTTTTTTTTTTTTTTTTTTTTTGAGATGGAGTCTCGCTCCATCTCCCAGGCTGGAGTGCAGTGGTGCGATCTCGGTTCACTGCAAGCTCCACCTTCCAGGTTCACGCCATTCACCTGCCTCAGCCTCCCAAGTAGCTGGGACTACAGGCACCTGACACCACGCCCGCCAATTTTTTTGTATTTTTTTTTTTTAGTAGAGACGGGGTTTCACCGTGTTAGCCAGGATGGTCTCGATCTCCTGACCTCGTGATCCACCTGCCTCGGCCTCCCAAAGTGCTGGGGTTACAAGTGTGAGCCACCGTTCCCGGCCTCTCCAGTGTCCTATCTCAATTCTTATTCAATTGTTTGTTAACTAGATTGGAATCATACTGTGCATATTGTTTTATAATTTGCTGTTTTGGCTGACATTTGGAAAAATTATTTTAGAAAAAACAGCCAGTTTTGTAGATGAAATGGTGTTTTGTTTCTATTGATTTTTGATTTTTAAGTTGCTATTACTTCATGAAGTTAGCGTCTTTCTTGTGTATTGGCTATTCTCTTTTCTTTTGCTATAAATTGTCTGCTACATCTTTTAGTTCATAATAATTATTGAGTCATTTTCTGTTTAAATATAAAGTATTTTTCTCATTTGTCGCTGTAACATAATCCATTTTTAAGAAGCAGAGCATTTTCTTGACAGAGTTTTGAAATATTGTGTGACTTTATGGCTAGAACACAGAAACATTAGTTAGAATTTCAGAATCATTTGATCAGCTCTGGCTTTGAGCCTCTGATTCTACTTGTAGTCTCCAAACCAATCTTTGGTATCCTTCTGTAGAGATGTAAGTTGTTATCACCAACTCAACATGAAATTGTAAGAATTTATAACAGTGTTTTCTAAAATGATTTCTTTGATTTATTCAAAGAAATATTATCTCTGATAATATATTTCAGTATTTTTCATATTGCTCAATATCAGACGAAAGTTCTTATAAAAGTCCTGATTGTTTCAGCAGTGATTTGCATGCCATTAGCAGGTCATTCATCCCCTTCCACTTTGAGGCTCAAGTTCTACACTAGATTTGATTTGTTGGAGGGAGTCTACAAACTCTGCTTTCACTAGAAAGACATGATCTGTGTGCTTTGCTGCCATAGTGGGCCTATCCACATGGCTCATTCTCTGTAACACTAACTTCCAGGAAAGCTCTTGTATCAAAATTCATCACCGGTATTAAACAGTGTCAATTATTTTTATCACCTGTTGAAAGCTTAAATGCCAACAGAAATTTGTGCTTCACAGGGCATTGGGTCCTCCATTTATATTTTTCAAATGTGTAGTATACTCTTGCTTTTAGTCGTCTATTACCCAGTGTTCTTTTCGGAAAATATTTTTAAAGTTAATTATATACTCACAGATAATAGTGCAAGCAAGTTTCCTCCATGTTCTGCTTTCCTTTTTCTGACTTTACTTCATGCTACATTCCTTCACAAATAGTAATAAGAATTTATTTCTACTCAGAATGAATGTTCCTCACAGTGGAGAGAATTTGCCACTACAAAATGCCTTCTACTCTGTGTTTAAATTCCTCGTACATACAAGCAGGTTTTGGGTGTTACATTTGTTCATAGAGGTATGAAATTGAGAGTCATAGATTGAAATGTTTTTTATAGTAGAGACTCCCAAAAAAAGGCACAGAAAAATGGTTGATATCTAGTAGGAGTTATTTACATGCTGCTATTTCTGATGCTTCCTATTTGTTTCTTCTGAAAAAGTCGCCCTTCCTATGTCTCAAAACAGTACACCTGTAAAACCACATCCTACTGGGCATAATTCTACAACTGCTTCTATTCTCAATGCTTGTGTTGCATGCTTTTGGACCCTAAGAGAAATCAGCAAGCTATAAACCCAGGACCAAGAAGAGCATATATCTCTTGGAAAAATAGCATTTGAGTGATTGAATAAAACAGGCTGTTTTGGGGATCATTCCAAATGCAGGGAACAATATGGATCTGTGATACTTGAGTTGTTGGACTTTGTAGAATATCAAAGATGTTCTGCTTTTCATATTCAGATTTTTAAATAGAAGGAAATAAACAATTTTTAAAATGTTTGGAATTAAATGGGGGAGGTCATCTGTAACTGTCTTTGTTGATTTTTGTGGGCATCATAGCACAGAAGAGTTCTCCTGGCTTAGCATTCTGGTATTGCTCACATATCACCTATATGCTAATTTGAGAGCGTTCATGAGTGCCATGAAGGATGAGTCAGAATGATAGACAGTATGCTGACTTTTTCTCCTCTTATTGAATTTAGTCTGATCTGCTAGTGAGAGAAATAAAAGGGAAATAAAGCAGGGAGTATAATAGGGAAACCTATTTTCTCCAAATGTTGAGATATTTAAAAAGTCTTTGTTCAGTGTACCTGCAGTTATAATCTTTCCAGAGATTCATGAGATGTCAGGGCTAGGCAAGACTTTAGAATTCTATGTAGTAAACTCTTGTTTGGGGCTGGGAAAATGGAGGGTCACAGTTAGAATAATTGCCTAAAGCCACACCGACAGAGAGCTGGTAGTGGAATCCCTGTTTTCTATTCACCTTCCTACTCAGTTGCACTACAAGTTTATCCTAATTCAAGTAAGCTTAGACATCACCTTGGGTAACTTTCTGATTTACCAAATCCACTAGTGGACCATATTGAATTTGCTTCCAACATGAATACTCTTCATTTCTCTCCATCCACACTGCTACCCACCAAAATCCCATGCCTTGAATGTAAATAATCTTAGAGCTGATCTGTTTGCTTCTGTAACTTCCTGCTACTCATTCCATAAGCAACAGAAGAGGCAAAATGACCTTTTAAAAAGTATAATTTGATCATTATTCTCCTTTACTTAAAATCCTAGAATGACTTCCATTGCACTTAAAATTCCAAATTTCTTTCCATGGCCTAAAGGGTCTACTTGATCAGTGTATCGCCTTTCTCTAGAACTTAATCTACCTCTGACCCTTGTGTGCTATGCTGCAGCCACTTTGGCCTCCTTTCTTTTCCCCAAAATTGAAGACACATTTCCATCTCAGGGCCTAAGTGTTTGCAGTTAGCTCTGTTTGGTGTTCTCTTCTCCTAGCTGTTTACAGCTTTCAGCCTTCTGCAGAGATGTTCCCCAGCTACCCTGCCGAATATCGCCTTTCCCCACCCAATCCTTTCATTACCCTATTTTTTCATAGCAGTAACTACTAATTAATTATGTCTTTATCTATTGTCTTTTCCCAGTCTCCAACTAGATTGCAAAGTCCCTGAGGGCAGAGGTCTTGATGTCTTTTCCATTAACAATATCTCGAGTAACCACCAGCAATCTGCACATAGTAATAACCTGAATATTCCTTTAATGAATGAATAAACTGAAAACCCTAAAGTTCAGTAATACTGGCCTCTGTGTAGAGTTTCAGAAATATGCCAAATATGCTTTCAAGCATCCCAGCCTGTCTAGTGTATCCTTTGCTCTCTTGGCCTTCTGAGATCACTTTTAATTGGCATCCTCTGAAGTTGTTACTCTCAGTCATGCTGGTTGATACCCCGAATGGATAGGAAATGGATAGGCATTTTTTCTGTCCATCTCTAAACATCTCTGATTGGGCCTAATATACCTCTCAGGCCTGCTCCTCTGGCCAGGACCCCTCTTTTTATGGGAAGTAGGGAGACCCAGGAACACAGAACCTATAATATATTAGAACCTGTTATATATCTCTCTAGAAAAAACAGTTATTTTAAGGAACGTGATTGCTGGGGATGGCAAGTCAGAAGCCTGTAGGGGGAGGCCTGCAGGCTGGAAACTCAGGTAGCAGTTGATGCTGCTGTTTTGAAGCTGACTTTTTTCTTCTATGGAAAGCCTCAGTTATTGCTCTTAAGGCCTGCCAAGCAATCGGATGAGGCACACCCACATTGAAGATTATCTCCTTTACTTGTGGTCAACTGATTATAGATGCTAACCACATCTAAAAAATGCCTTCATAGCAACACCTTGATTAGTGTATGATTAAATAATGGGACATGATAGCCTAGCCAAGTTGATAGAAAACTACCCATCCCATCATGCATTTGTGGTATTGGAGAAAGGAAATGCTTCTCCATTGTTACTACTGGGACTGTTACTGCTGAGACACACCGAAGAGGAGAATTTTTAGTTTTTAGTTTGCTTTTTAGCAGAATTCAAACTTAAATATAAAATTAACCAAATTGTCAGAAAGGACTGAAGGTTATCCTTTCAATTCTGAGTTTTTTATGTAAAATTATTTTATTATTAGCAACAGGTTTTGAAAACATTTATCAATTATATTCTTATATATTGGTGACTTTAGGTAATGAATAAATCTGGATTTATCTTTCTTTATAATAAAAATATGGTCTGATCAAAGTATATAAAATTGAAATAAATATTGTCTTATTTGTGCTTTAAATTAATTGTAGTATAATATTAATAGGATATTATATAATATTCAGTCATTTTAGAATAGGAGAAACATTTTAGGGTAGGATAAACAAGACCGTATCATGAAATTGGAGATTTTAATTGTTTTGTAATATTAAATTTTACCTCTCATGAAAATAGAGTAGATAATTATTATGGATTATGAAACAGCATAATTAGTTGTAACAGTTTTACCTTGAAGAAAATATATCTTTTTTATAAGCAGAAAACTTCATTTTGTTTTCTTTAAAATGAAGTGAATACCGGCCGGGCGCGGTGGCTCACGTCTGTAATCCCAGCACTTTGGGAGGCCGAGGTGGGCAGATCATGAGGTCAGGAGATGGAGACCATCCTGGCTTACACGGTGAAACGCCGTGTCTACTAAAAATACAAAAAGTTAGCCAGGTGTGGTGGCGGGTGCCTGTAGTCCCAGCCACTCGGGAGTCTGAGGCAGGAGAATGGCATGAACCCTGGAGGCGGAGCTTGCAGTGAGCCGAGATTGCGCCAGGGCACTCCAGCCTGGGCAACCGAGCGGGACTCCGTCTCAAAAAAAAAAAAAAAAAAAGATGAAGCGAATACCATCTCTACTCTCAATGTATCGTGGACGATAATAACTATGCTAGTATTTCTGCATAGTATTCTTAAAGAATTCTGACTGAAAATATTTAAATGAAATACACATAATCACTTTGCCACCTAATGCCCATCAATCATTGCCAACATTGACTTTTAATAAAGACACATAACCAGAGATGATTTTTAAAAATTATGGATAAATTACATTAGAAAATTTAGCTGGAGCAAATTATATTTGATTATTATTAACCTGCCATAATTTATATTCATTAAATTGCCAAATCTTGATTATAATAGTCAAAAAGAAAAGGTACATGATAATGATCTAGAGGTAGAACACATGCTATCAACTGGAAAACTAATTGTTCAGCATCCTAAGTGTATTTGTTGCTTAATTATATATATAATTTCTACAACAAGTGGAATGATTTACATGAATGTCAAATAACTGGTTTATAAATGAAACCTGATATTAAGCTAAATAAAATATTGGCATATAGTGTTCACTTATGAGCTAATATTCTTACCTCTAGCTTCATTTACAAATTAATTATGCTACAAATATATTAATGTTCCACAACTCTTTCACACTTCCATCAATATCGAGTTTATTCCATTACAATGTGAAATTAAAAAAAACTGTAGAATAATTACTTCTGCTTCAGAAAATATAGATTACCTATCTTCCAGTAAGATGCTGCAATTTATTTAGATAACTGCATTTATTGCATTGATTTTGAAAAATTGCTCAACCTAATACCCTTTCTTCTTTGCTAATTCCTGGGGAAAAGGAATCCTTTTCATTTTGATCCAAATGACCATTAATCATATTATAAAGTGTAATAATTAACCCTTTTTTTAAGTGTCAGAGACACATGAATAGTGATTTTATTTGGTTTCAATAATCAAGTAAATTAAGTGATAAAATGGAGGCCATAATTAAGTGATCTTGTTTTCTAATAAGACCAACCCATTAATGTGCATGTAAAGATGCCTGTCATCAATTTAACAGCTTTCTGAGTTTAATATACATTAAGAGTTTTATTTTTGGAACAACTTAGTAATTTTTAGAAACTTGAGTACAAGTGTTGGCAAAGGTTCTATAAAATTCTGTCTACAGAATATGTGGAACACAACCTTGGGTCGTATCTCCAAGGAAAACTACCATGATTAAAAAGACAATGCTTTGTCAAATTCACTTGTTATCACAATCTAATTGTGTTAAATGCCGGCCACATTCTGAGTAGACACTTTAACTTGGCTTCCCTTGGGAAATAGGAAATGAAGGGCCCGAAAGAACTAGAAGCTGCCTCTCAATTTTCTTTCAACATGGCAAAAGCATTTGCATTTATCTGTGCCCCTCTCTTGGCTACACTCTCAGCTTTGATACACTACTTGAGCATGTGGAGGTTTACCTACTGAATGTGACCCTTATATGAATAATATGAGACTTTTGTATCAACAGTAGTGATGGTTTTTGTTTTTAAGTCACATTTTATTGTATGTCTTCTCTACCTCTCACTATATGACAAGTTTAGTGAAGGCAGGGTCTGTGGCTATCTTGTTTATTATTGTTTTATATCCTGGGGGTATCACAGTGCTTGATCATAGAAAGGGCTCACTAAATATTTATGGAAGGAAAGAGAGGAAAGAAGGGAGAGTGAAAGAAAAAACATTCAATGTTCTCACTCTTAAACCAAGAAAATAATTGTTTACTTTATTTCATTGTAGTAAGAAAACTGAACATGCTACTACCTTCAATAAATTTTTAAGTCTGCAATACAGTATTGTTGACCATAGGAACAATATTGTATAGTGGATTTCTAGCATTTGTCTTTCTTAACTGTAATTTTGTGCCCGTTGTTTAGTAACTCTAAATTTTCCTCTTCACTCAGACCCTGGCTTCCCCCCATTCCACAATTTGATTCTGTGAATTTGAATATTTTCATAGAAAACATTTTATGAGTAGAATTATGCAGTATTTGTTTTTCTGTGACTAACTTATTTCACTTAGCACAATGACCTCCAGGTTCATCCATGTTGTTGTATATTTCAGAATTTCCTTCTTTTTTAAGGCTCAAGAGTATTCGCGTGTGTGTGTGTGTGTGTGTGTGTGTGTATCACATTTTCTTTATTCATCTGTTGATGAACATTTAGTTTTTTTCACAGTCTTGGCTATTGTGAATACTGCTGCAATGGACATGGATTTTTAAGCGATAAAGAATAAAGCTCTTTTCATCTTTTAACTGGAATTATTTTTTAGAAAATATTTTGTTCCAATTTTATGATTTTTTTGCTATTCTTTCATGATTAAAAGTTATGTTTCATTATTATCAGGTTGTATATTTACATATATATTTTGTCTGATGTTAATAATGGCATGTTTACTTTCTTTGTGTAAGCTGATGTATGGAAAATATTTTCCTAGCTTTTATTTCACATTATTTCATCTTTTGTTTCAATCATTCATCTTGTATATTTTGGCTTCCTTCTTCCCTTTTACTCAACTTAGAATTTTAGAGTGAGTAACTTTTAAGATAAAACGAGTTTAACAGATAATTTAGCCCATTCACATTTGTTGTAATTCATGATATTTGTGTGTGTTTGTTATCTCTTCATTTTTGAATTATTTTGCTTTTTAATACATCTTTTCTCCATTTCTTCTGCATTACCTTCCTTCTTTATTATTAATTGAGGTTTTTTGTGCTGTTCTTCTTCCATCTTTTTTAAACTAATGAATTACAAAATTTGCTTCTTTTTATGATTTGTCTCATAGTTATTGTTAAAGTTTTGAGACCTGTGAGTAAAAATATTTTATATTAATACCTAGACTTATAAATCAGTACTAATATCTTGTCTTGAACAGGACTTCATCCCTAGAATACTTTTTATTTCTACATCATCTGCTTTTAAATAATCAGATATTAAATCCAGATTGCCATCGTTTCATTTTTAAACTTTGCAGCAGAGATTTTTTTAGATGTGAACATAAGGTGTCTATTTTCTTTGCTTCTTGTTATTTTGTGTTGTCTTTCTCTTTCTTGGGTAATTTTTTGTTTTGTTTTGTTGAATCAGTAAGCTTTTCAGAAAATGCCTGTAGGTGTTAAATTTCTGAGCAGTTATATATCTGAAAATATCTTTGCTCTTACATTTGGTTAATACTTTGGCTAGATTTAGAATTTAAAATTATGAAATGTTTTTCTACAGACTTGTGAAGACATTCAATATTTGTTTCAGCACATGGCCTTAGAAATGGGATATCTATACCAATCTAATTCCCATGTTTCTGTAAGTAATATACCTGTTTTTATCTTCTCTGAGATATTTTGGAATTTGCTCATTATTCTTGGAGTTTTGAAATGTCATCAAAATATGTCTAAGTGCTGGTCTTGTTTAGTAATCTTGTATACCTCAGGGGAAATTTCAGTCTAAAGATGTATATCTTTTCCTTCAGTTTTTTTTTTCTCTCTCTCTCTCCATATATATATATACACACACACACATATATATACACGTATATATACGTGTATATATATGTGTGTGTGTGTATATATATATACTTTTTATGTCTTATTAGACAAACGTTAGGATTTCTGTTTCTGTTCTCTGTCTTAACTTTTTTATGCTCTCCAGGCCATCATGTGCTTGTCCTATAATCTGGACCAAACCCAAGGTACACATTTGTAGCTCACAAATTCTTCACTAGTCACCATCTCTGACTTATCCTAAATGAAATTTTATTTTATTTTTAAAGTGATTATATTTTAAATGTTTCTTTTTATAAAATGCCAACCAGTTTTTCTTAATGGCTGTAATGTATTGAATCCCTTAAGCTAGTTCATTATTCCTATTTCAAGATTTTTTTCTACTCCTTCTATTAATTGTTTTTTTTTTTTTTTTTTTTTGAGAACTAGTTTTGTGTTGTTTGCATTGGAGTAGCATATACAAGCCATTGTTTCTGACCCGAGTGCTCTCTTTTAGAATTTTTTTTTTTTTTAGGGTCAGATCCCCTCATCTAGTACCTCTGCCTTTAACCGCAGTCTCATGAATCCAACTGCTATTCAGCACCTTCGACTCAGATGTCTGATAGGCCTGTCAATCTTGGGAGACCCCTAGCTGAACTTCCACAGAAGGATGGGTCTGCTCCTTCCCTAGTCTCCCCATATCAGGAGATGATGGTACCCTTCACCCTGTAGCTCATGCCAACCTTGGATTCATCCTGATACCTTTCTTGTCCTACATTCTACATCCAATGTATGAACTTGTGCTCACTTTTATGTCCACCTTCAAACAAATACCATATCTGACTGTCTCTCACCACTCCCCAGCTACATCCCTAATCCAAGTCACCATCATCTTTCACTTACTCTATTGCAGCAGCAATAGACCAATCTGGGCTCTGCTTCCATTCTTTTCACCCTATGTTTATTATGTATTCAGCGGCCTCAGAGAAATGTAAAACATAAATCAAGTTCCATCACTCCCTGCAAACAACAACAATAACACCCCTTATAATGGCTTTAAGTCCTAAGCATGACCAATACAGCCATATGACATCAAGGTCCTGCTTACTTCTCTGACTTTCTGTTCTATAATTTCTATAATGTCTATCATTGTTCACTGTGTTTCAGTCATATTGGTCTTCTTGCTATTTTGGGGAGTATGTTCCCACCTCAGGGCCTTTGCACAGCTGTTTCCTCACCTAGTAGCTCTTTCTCTAGATATTACTTGGCTTCCTCCCTCCCTTTAATTGTTTCTCACACAAAATGCACCTCCTCAGAAAAGGATTGCTCTCATCCAGTTATCATCCACTGTCCCTCTTTATCCCTTTTCCCTGCCCTTTTTCTTAATAACATGTAACGCTGCCTGGTGTGACCAAGATAGGTTTGTTTGTGTTTGTTGTTGTTCTTCAAAATAGAAACATGACCAGGGTATGGGACTGATGACTTCTCCACCAGCATATCCTCTGAGGGTGCTGAATCATTTCTGTTACATAGTGGGTGCAGAGGAAATATTTGTTACATGAGGCTATATATCAAAGGGCTTCATGAAGGTTTTGCTTTACTGTGAATCTGGAGTCAGATAATTCTTTTCTTTATTTCTCCTCTGTTTTCTTTGTAGAGATCATGAATATCTTAAGCTTTATGGTGCCTCTCTCTCTATAGTTTGGCTATGAGCCTCCCCGAGGCAGATGGTTAACTTTATTTAGAAAGAGGGTTTCAGGACTTTATTCTAGTGATAAATACCGTGGCTGCTAGTCATAGAATAAACAAGGGCATGAGAGAAGGCAGCCAACTAGACCAGCTGTTCACACCATGGTCCTTTCATAATTATCCTGGTTACTGCCTCTTGGCTGTGTGTATTGCTTGACTCCAAGTGTGGGGTGTCTTTTGTAGAGCTTTATCTGGAGCTGTTTTAGGGAGAATCAATCTCACTTCTAGTAGATTTCTCCTGTGTAAGTGTGGGCTTTGATTTCCTCTACTTCTATTTCTACTAAGCCCATTACTTATATTAATCCCATCTACTTTCAACCTTCAAGGACTTTTATTTTTCAAATTTCTGATCTGATAGTTAAAATTTTCCCCGATGTGCCATGCACTTATTCTAAAATATGATTTTTTTCCTGGTGTCAATAAGATTTGGCGTACAGGGAAAGACAGATATATATGACTTAAATTTTGTCTTCTTTGCCTCTATTGTATGTTACTGTTTTTATCTTCTGTGTTGTTGTTGTTGCTTAACAAATGTAGCTACACATTTATATCTTATCACTGTTTTCTTAAAAATAATTTGTTTTGTTCTTCTCCCTTTTATATTTAGAAAATATATAAAAAATGTGGACCATGCCTTTGATCAGAAATTATTATGAAAATTGTTGTTTAGAATGGGTTTGAGGGTGGAAAAGTTTATTAAGAGATTGTAATTTAACGAAAGAGAGGTATGAATATTCTGAGAATTGAGGTGTCTTATGCATTAATTGGATTGCTAGATGGCCCCACTGATTTCCTGTTTTTCTTGTTGTGTTAATCTATATATTGAATTAAGCACCTCAAACTATGAGTTATTAGATCTCATATATCTATATCCCTACAGCAATTTCTCTAAGCTCTGGTCATTTCTGCTACTTTGTAATCTAAAACTGCTTCATAACTTCCTAGATAGAAATAGAATATGTGGGTGCTCAGAGTATCAGATAGACCCCATATATAATAGCTATGAAATTTCAGGCTCTATAATGGATTATAGGATATTTTTGAACCTTGGTAGGTTGTAGGATTAGTTGCTTAAATACATAGTACCATAGATTGCAAATGTTTAAAAATCTTGATGCTGGAATTTATTAGAAAAACAGGAATGAATACAGTTTGAGAGGCTAGAACCGTGGATTTCAAATGCTAGCCTGTATGAGGGTCCCTTGGAGGGCTTCTTAAAATACAAGTTGCTGGTTGTCATTTTCAGGGTTTCTGATTTACGAAGTATAGGATGGGCCTGAGAATTTGCATTTCCATTAAATTCCCAGGTGATGTGGCTGCTGCTCCTGGGACAACATTTAGAGAACCGCTAGATTAGACAGTCTCACAACAGGGATTTCTAGGGACAGCTTAATGGTTACTTTATGATTTGAAGCTGGAATACCCAATTAGGGGTTTTTCCAGTCTCATTTCATTTCATTTCATTTGCTTCCTTTTTTCTTTCTTCCTTCCTCCTTCCCTTCCTCCTCCCCTTCCTCCTCCTTCCTTTTTTATCTCCTCTCCTTGCCCATCCCCTTTCCTCCCTTCCCATCCCCTCCCATCTCTTCCCCTTCCCTCCCCTCCCCTCGCTGCTCCTCTCTTCTCCTCTTTCTTTCTTTGCCATTTCAGGTGCTTTATCTCTTAAGCACTGCACTGCTTTGGGTTATCCATTTAAGCTTAGAAGGAGAGCAACAGAAAAGGAATTGAAATGTAAAGCAGATATCAAGAGAGCAAAATTTGTCATTAAATTGGAACTAGCAATTAATTTGTCTATTTATTCATAGTCTAAGTGTGATTATCAAAAATGCTTGAGAATCAATAGAACCACATGGGTTTTTCAAGTTGGATAGGACCACTGAAGCTACCTGGTGGAAACACATCATTGTATTGATGAGAAGACTGAAGCAAGAATATGAAAAGCATCTGAACCAATGTTTTCTTTTCCACGTTCTCATCACTCTCTGCTACCCACAGCTGCCCGTCATGGATATACTATATGTTGTCAGCTATATTTTGATTACTTCTCTGTATATTTATCATCATAGTTTACTAAAATTGTTAGTATTATACCTTTTGCATATAAGAAAGGATGAACATTTCTAGTTCTTAAAATGTAAGAATAAGTGATTACATATTACCTTGAAACAGTATGGAACACTTTTTACTTTAAAATATTTTTTTCAATTTTTGTGGGTACATAGTAGGTGTATGTATGTATGGGGTACATGTGATACTTTGGTGCAGGCATGCACTACATAATAATCATTTTCCAGAAAATTGGGTATCAGTTGCCTCAAGCATTTATCCTTTCAATTAATGCTCTTAGTCTGTTGGTATTAAAACAATTTTTATTTTCTGATGAGAAAGTTGCTGTCACTTTGATCATTGACTTTGCTACAGGAATTTTCTTTTCTTTTCTTTTCTTTTCTTTTTTTTTTTTTTTTTGTTTTTTGAGACAGGTCTCCCTCTGTCTTCCAGGCTGGAGAGCAGTGGCACAATCATGGCTTACTGCAATCTCAACCTCCTGGGATCAAGTGACTCCCCTGCCTCAACCCCCTGACCCTCACTATCTGGGACTACAGGTGCACACCACCACGCCTGGCTAAATTTTGTATTTTTTGTCAAGACAAGGTTTGTCATGTTGTCCAGGCTGGTCTCGAACTCCTCGGCTCAAGTGATCCACCTGCCTTGGCCTCCCAGAGTGCGGGGATTATAGGTGTGAGCCATCATGCCTGGCCAGGAATTTTCTTGAATGCTTCAATAACTTTATTCCATTTAACTCTCACAACAATCCCATCAAATCAAGTATCATGATTATGCCTCATCATTCATTTCACAAATTAATAAGCAAAGTCTTAGGGGGTTATCACTTCCCAAATTATTACATGCCAGTGAAAAACCAAAGTTTGAGCTTGCACACAAACTTTGAAACACTATTCAAAAGCAGTGTTTTCAGCACCTGATCTTTATTGCCTCACAGAGTTTTATACAGATACAAAATTATGAAATGTAGCTGGAGCCAGGAACTATGACATGGAATATACCTGGCATACACATGGTCTTTGTCTTTTCCTACATCTGTGAACTTGTTGAAGCTTTAGATGTCTTCCCAGCTCAGTGATCATGAAGACGTCCTCACTGATGAGTCATCTTTACTTGTCATCTCTAGCTACCTGGAATAAAACACCCAGTGTAGTGTCTGGGATCCAGTGGGCATCGTGGGTCAGTTAGTTCTCCAGCCCCGGTTCCTTTTCTGGTTGCCTGAGCTTGGAAAATTCATAAAATCTCTTTGGACCTCAGTTACGCAACTGTGAAATTGTGCTATAGGGTGACTTGAAACCACTTTGTAGATTTTTTGGGAGAGCTAAATTAGGTAATGCATGTAAAAGCATTTAGTGCAAGGTCTGGCACATAGGATATATTTGCTAAATATTCGTAGAATCAGATGAATAACTCTCATGAAATATTTTGTTAAACATTGTGATTGTTCACTGGGAATATTATATGGCTGTGTGTGCCACTGTCCGTGTTTCCCCTAATAATTAATAAATATTAAATAATTTAAAATTAAATATTAAATAATTTAAAATTAAATATTAAATAATTAATAATAAATATTAATAAATACCTTTGGCAAGTATATACTATGTCTTCAAAATGTTTCTTTTCCATTTAATGTTTTCATTTATCTGCAACATTTCTTAAGGCTTATTTGCATGTGGGTAAAATTCAGGCTACAATAATAGTCAAGGAAGTATATTTCTCTTGTTCTGCTCCCATACAAATGGTGCCCCCCTGCAAGCCTCTTCTGAATTATTCCTGGACACCCAAATAAAAATGGTAATTTTTCTTTCCTTTTCTCCTGGATTCTTATTCTAACATCTGCTAGGAGGATCCACACCCTGTCCTAGGCTAGTAGTGTACAGACCATGGTTTTGATGTCTGTGCAAAAGGTACAGGTTTGTTTGCATCTCTTCAATTTTTTTCATTGTATGAAAATATAAATAATATAAAATGTACTATTTTTAAGTATACGATTCACTGGTATTAAATGCATCTATAATGTTGTGGAACTATCACCAGAATCCATTGCCATAGCTCCTTTAATCTTACAAAACTGAAAAGTTGAACTCTTTACCCATTAAGCAATAACTCCCCATTCCCCCTCACTTAAGCCCCGGGCACCACTATTCTACTGTCTGTTTTTATGATTTTGGCTATTCAAAGTACTTCATATAAGCGGTATCATGCAGTGGTATCTCATCTTTTTGAGACTGGCTTATTTCACTTAGCATAATATCCTCAAGGTTCATCCATGTTATAGCATATTTCAGGGTATTTTTCCTTTTTAAGACTGAATAATCATCCATTTATAGATATACCACATTTTGCTTATCCATTCATCCAGCCACGGGTACTTGGGTTGCTTCCACTTTTTATCTATCATGAATAATGCTATAAACATGAATGTACAGATATCTCTTTGAGTCCCTGCTTTCGGTTCTTATGGGTATATACCCCGAAGTAGATTGCTGCATCATATAATAATTCTGTGTTTAAATTTTTGAGGAATCACCATACTGTTTTCCACAGCATCTGTACCATTTTGCATTCCCACCAACAATATACAAATGTTCCAATTCTTCGCATTCTCGCCAAAATTTGTTACATGTTGTTGCAAAAGTAATTGTGGTTTTTGCCATTAAAAGTAGTTACTTTTGCACCAGCCTAGTATTTTTTTTTCTGAGTTTTTTTTTCTTTTGTTAGTAATGGGTGTGAGTGGTATCTCATAATTTTTATTTGTATTTCTATAGTTGTTATTGATGTTAAGCATCTTTTCATGTGCTTACCAGTCATTTCTGTATCTCCTTTGGAGAAGTATCTGTGTATTCAGCGTTTGCTTATTTTCACATTGAATTATCAGTATTTTTTGTTGTTGAATTTTAGGAGTTCTCTATATATTCTGGATATTAATTTATTGTCAGGTACAGATTTGGCTTTGATGGCACTAAAGCTACTTCTTCTTACCTTCGAAGTCACAGTACCTGTAATGATTGCTTATGTTTAGCAAATTAACATCATTAGGCTTTCTCTGTCATTATATAACCCCTTCATCCTAAGACTCACACATGAGCACCTCAACTGAGGCTGGGGATGTGTGTCCCTGTTGTTGGGGGAACACATGTCCTTAGCTCTGACTCCCTTTCTCCAGGGTCATTTCTATCCTCTCTTCCGATGACGGTCTACCCCACAGATCCTAAGCCACATCCAAGTCACCTGAATTCCAGCATGATTCTTACTTAGATTCTTAAGTTTAAATGCTTGTAATTCCTTCTTCCTTTCCTCTCCTTATTAAGTACCTTTAAGGAAGTAGAAAACTCTCAACATTTAGAAACACTTACAAGCATATGAATTTCCATATTATTAATGCCTCGTGACCAAGATGTCCTGACACATTTATATGGTCCTGTAAAAGTTTTATAAATAATCTGGAGCATATTATTTCTTTATATCCTCACTTTGTGAACTAGACAAGGTAGATATTAAAATTCCAAGTCTCAGGAAGTTTGAATGATTTTTCTTAAGCTTAGTCAGCTAATTAGGAGCAGAATCAGGACTGGAATTTAGGGCTTCTGGCTCCACTTTATCTCTGAGGCTTGTACTATTCTACTGGGATATCATTAGAAGAAATGCCAAATGAATGCCATTGCCTCTTCAGCCCTAAACACAAAGCCCAGTTAAGTGTTTCCCTGACATTTTTCCTGACATCTATAAAAATTCATATTTTATTTTTATTCACATGCTGATTGATTTAGATGTTATGAAAATTAAATAAGTTCCAAAAGGCAGAAGATAGGCTATACACATATTTTTAAAAATTTGTCATTGTTCAAACAATATTGAATATAAAATTGAAATGTCCCTCATTATAAAAAAAAATTCTCTAAGAGTGACTAGTTATAAGGTTATATCTTTTGGCATGATGCACCTCTAAGCAGTGCTTGCATAAAGTCTCTACCAAAGCTGACAGAGCTTCCCTAAGGCCTAAAGAACTTGGCAAATGTTGTTGAACAAAAATGACAACAATGAAACTGTGTAGGAGGATTCTGCATTAGTGCACCTAAGAATGTTCTCGCTAATTTGAGCACTTCTCACCATGGAATAATGCTTTTGTTCCTCTCTGTCTTTTTCTGCTGTCTCACAGAGACTCCTAACAGGGCTCCCTGGACCAGGCTTAGACATCAATAGGGATGGACTAGAGGCATTCCATGGAGGTGACAATTACAGAAGATCAGAAGTGCCTAGCTACACACTCTATTTTCTTCTAGCATCTGAAATTATTGACTTGAACCCATTTGTGGGGTCACTAAGCCACCTTCATATAATATTTATTACATGTGCAAAGTCAGAACATATGGAGAGCATTTGCATTTGAATGGGGGAAACATGCTGTTAGATAAATTAGAAAATCTTTATATTTGCATTTTTCTTTATTTAAAAAAATCAATCTGTGGTATAGTAGAGCTAGGAATATTCCCTTTTTGGTTGACTTCTTCACTCTGTGTTTAAACTTTCTCAGCATTGAGGCATGTGATTAAAAGGAGCTATTTTCCTAATACAAACAAAAGCATTGAACATCCTGTGAAACAAAAGTTGTTCATTTTAACTTGCGTTATATGGAAATGTGACATGTTTTAGATTTGTGTAAGCTCATGTACTTGAAAATCAGACTTGTCTAAAATTTCTTTTGTAAGATATTAGAGAACTTTTGAATTATACCTCTTATTTTTGAATGTACATTCCTCAGAGAATCATCTTTATGCACAAATAATGTTTATTTTATATTTTTAATCTACTTTAGCAGACCCACCTGATTCTTCTACATGTAAGGTTGAAACAGTTTTGAGTGATAAAGAACTGATTTTATGGAGCAACTAATGATTTTGCTGTTGCTACTTTTGTGCCAGCAAATACGTAATCCACAAGAATGTTATAAGAAAGATATTTATCAAGCCTCTAAAAAAAAAGAAAGTAATCAAAAGATAAGGATGCATAAATATCTTAAGACTACTCATGACATCAAGGAAGGTGAATCAGTATTAATAATTCACTAGTTTGTGCATACTTATTGTCAGGTGCTGGGTCAAATTAAATTGGAATGATTTGTTGACATGAGGATTTCTGGGTTCATGATGGATTCACATTAAAACAATTTTTATGTTTTAAGCCTTCTCCCATCAAATAGGTTTTACGGTCTTGTGTACACATTACATGAGGGAAATAGTACTTTAACATTTTACATGCTGGTGTATAGTCTATATCAGCAGTCCCCAACCTTTTTGGCACCAGGAACCAGTATCATGGAAGGTAATTTTGCCATGGAGTGGGGTTGGGGAAAGGAGATGGTTTAGGGATGAAACCGTTCCACCTCAGATATCAGGCATTACATTCTCATAAGAAGCATGCAACCTAGATCCCTCAAATGTGCAGTTCACAATAGGGTTCGTGCTCCTATGAGAATCTAATGCTGCCACTGATTTAACAGGCTGCGGAGCTCAGGAGGTAATACTCGCTCACCTGCTGCTCACCTCCTGCTGTGTGGCCCGGTCCCTAACAAGACCATTCACCGGTACCAGTCAGTAAGCTGGGAGTTGGGGACCCGTGTTCCACATGTTATAAAAACTTAGGCTGGGCGCGGTGGCTCACGCCTGTAATCCCAGCACTTTGGGAGGTCGAGGGGGGCAGATCACGAGGTCAGGATATCGAGACCATCCTGGCTAACACGGTGAAACCCTGTCTCTACTAAAAATACAAAAAAATAGCCGGGCGTGGTGGGCGCCTGTAGTCCCAGCTACTCGGGAGGCTGAGGCGAGAGAATCACTTGAACTCGGGAGGCGGAGGTTGCAGTGAGCCGAGATCGCGCCACTGCACTCCAGCCCGGGCGACAGAGTGAGACTTCTTCTCAAAAACAAAACAAAACAAAAACTTAAAGAGTTATTTGAGCCGGACACAGTTGCATAGACCTGTAGTCCCCAGCTACTTGGTGGGCTGAGGCAGGAGGATTGTTTGAGTCCAGGAGTTCGAGGTTGCAGCGAGCTATGATTGTGCTACTTACACTCCAGCCTGGGTGACAGAGCAAGTCCCTGCCTCTAAAAATAAAATAAATTCGGAAAGAATTATTTGGTGATTCAAGTATAAAACAAAATCTATCAGATATTTGTGAAAAACATATTGTTACATTGTTACATGTTTTAAGAAGGGAATTAAACTCCTAGACTCTGTATGGTATAGGAGTTCAACACTATAGGTTGGTCTATACATCTAATGTTGGATATGTATTTTGTGCCTTTTATTTAAAATAACATACATTTTATGGCATTTCTTGCTTTGCATTAATTACTGGCCATACCCAGAATCCTTTCCTTCGAATAAAATAACCTCTTTTCCCAAACTTTTACATATTGTTCATATTTTCAACCCCCTACACAGTTGTTAGGTCTTGAATTTGGAAGAATTAAAGGGAATAACATTAATGACAGTGAACTATGAATTAGGAACCTCACCCTATCAATAGCCAATTTCCCTCCTTTTCAGTTTTGTGTCTCAGTAATAGTCCTTAAAACAACAAATGATACATTAAGTGACCTGAGCCAATTTCCTCTTGACATGGAACTATTCAACAAAGCCTCACATAAGCTAACATTTCCTAATTAGCCCCTTAACTGTTGACTTGAGAAAGGGTTTGCAATACAGGATTCTTATATATTAATAAAAACTATAGGTAAAAAATTCAAGATGTTGTTGAATCTTTACAGTTCGACTCATTATTCAAATTCTTCATCTTTACATCAAGTTTCTCATCTTTACATTCCTCTAATTCAGGTCATCTCCACAATATGTCCAATAAACCGTATTTGCAAGATATCGGGAGAAAAGCGAGTCTGCCTCTAGGAATTATAACTGATACTTCCTTTGTGTGATGAACAGTGATTTTTATGTATTTAGTCATATGCTATTAGGGAATAGATATCTCTAGATCAGAGAACAGATTGTGTATTAGTCACAGAACATCTTAGCACTAGTTCCTCCAGCCCTAGTTCCTGTGGAGTAACGCGATGAGGGCCAGATATCTATCCCCATGGGCAGCAGTGTTGCACCGCATGAGAGGAACCCTGGAATTATGAAACTTGGAGCTTACACAGGGCAGCTGGGCACATCTGCCCTTCCTCCCCTCCAGAGATAGAAAGACTTGTATGTATTCTGGCATGTAAGCAAATGACTCTCGGGGAGAGTAAAAAGATGCCTCCAGGTTTTATTTCATGAGCATATGGCTCCAGAGGAGACGCATCTCTAAACCTCTCAGGAACAGTTCATTGTCTTTTACTTCTGAGACATACTGTCCATTCAGTCATTCTTTAGCCAAGGTTGCCAGTACTCTTTGCTAAGAAACCCCAGATCATGCAGAAATGTGAACATGTTCACAGAGAATTGTCTCTCAATCAATAGTACCTAGTACATTATTATACAAAGTTCTGGGGATGTTTGGCAGGGATTGAACCCATGAACTAGAATTATGAGCATTGGAACTTATCTAAACCAATTAGCAAATAAAAAAGTTACACATTTCTTGAGAAAATAATTTTATAGATTAATAATTACATGTAGGATATGCATATCTCAAGTCATCTGAGGGTTTAATGTTTTGTATACTTTATCTTACAAAATAGATTCCAATTCATGCTGTCTGGATATACAAGCATTAAGGCCTTCCAAAGGCAAAATCAGGCTAGGTGTGAAACATGAGTGGTATACGGAGGTATAGCAAGTAGTGTCCCTTGATACCCTTGGGGAATTGGTTCCAGGATGTCCCAGAGATACCAAAATCCATGGATGCTCTAGTCTCTGATATAAAATGGCATAGTATTTGCATGTAATCTAGCCCACTTTCCTGTATACTTTATATCATCTCTATATTAGATATAATGCATAATACAATGTAACTGCTATGTAAATAGTTGTTTTATTTGCATTGTTTAGGGAATATGACAAGAAAAAAGTTTGTACATGTTCAATACAGATGCAATGTTTTGGAATGTTTTGGGGCATATTTTTGAATCCACAGATGCAAAACCCATACATATAAAGGGCTGACTGTATTTAAGTTCCTCATTCTGGTGTGATTAATTTTATCTCTTTTTAGTATACTTGTGGTTCTCAAGTCACTAATGTTTTAGTTATAAGGTGAAAGGCACACTGTGTAATTGAATGCTAAGGCCAATTCTTTACCTCTGATGTCTGGAATAAGAGCCAGATTTCCCATCCTTTTATGGAACTACAAGCGTCATGGCTATTAGCAATCCCAGAATAGTTCTACTCCCACTTTGGCTGAGTTTAAGATCTTTTTCTAAAGACAGTAAAAAGAGCATCAGAAAAGCATTTGTGAGGCTGAAGTACCTCACATACCAATTTTGTGGGCACATTTTTGGACCCTTAAGTTCTTTTTGACAGTTTTATAAACTCATGCCCAGAGTAGTTTCCTTTATTTAATATTTGTCTTACCCTCTACTTACAGGAAATGCAAGGCTCATCAGCTTTTTCAGGGAGTAGCATGACTCAGAGTCTGATGTACTTGAAAAAAACACAGCGGGAATCCAAACACACTTATGTCATTTTTATGTGTTAGAGAGAAACCAGGAAGCATGAATTCTCACTTTTCTTAACGTCTTTACAGTGTCAAAGGGATATTTGTGAAAAGAGGTTGTGGGAATCATTGTTCTGAAGTGCATCCAAGATTAGAAGCCTGGTTTATGTGTGCTATTTTGCCTCCCAGTATGAGCAGCCTTTTTATATTTATTCCAAGTATTACTGTAAACTACTTTTTCTTTATACATACACAATATATCTTTGTCTGTGATCAGAGCGGAGCTTCATTTCCACTGACCAATAGAAGGGCATTTTTATTTGATTTAAGTGAAACTTGGGGCATAATGCATTCTTTCAAACCTCTGATTGGACATGACAAACAAAAAGCTTGAGCTAGACCATGGTCATCTGAACTATTTCCAATAACTTACCTTTGTAATTGGAGTATTGCCTCAAATATTTCCCTGAACTCTAATTACCATGGATACGATATCACTCAACAGAACTTTTTCTTAGGAGCACTAAGAGTGTGGAAGACAGAGGATAAATGTTGTAGTTTCATTTGATTATCTCTATGTGGATGCTCACATTTTTTTTTCTATAACCAACCAGTTTCATTTTGATGAGAGTGTTTGGAGAGATGGTTATGCTGACACTAGCCTAGGTAAGAGAGTAAGTCTCCCTCTCTTAAAAAAAAGTGACAATGTCACTTCTGCTCACAGTCTGTTGATCAAAATGAGGCAAACGGCCAAACCTGATGCCTATAGGTTGAGGAAATTGTGTATTTGTGAATAGTAATAGCACAGCAGCCACTAGGCCTCCCAGTCGTACTGGAGATTTCTAAAAGGCAAAGTGTTTTTAGTTTGTTTTAGGTAATAGGTTGATATTTAGCCTATTAAAAAGGCAGACCCTGGCTTGACAGACAAAAATTAATAATTAATTTGGGAGCCAGATACAGACTTAGGTTTTTTGAATTCTTGTTTCTATATTCTTATTTTGGAAGTTTACAGTTTGGTTTTATATGCAGGGGTGTTAGATGAAGGTGTATTGTTTTGCAAATAGAAACAGTCTCAGGAGACAAATAACAATGGCATGAGAAATTTATGAAGTTTATTTTTAGCAGCACTTTCAGGCAAGGTTTTGCCATCAATATTTTCATTGGTACCCAAGAAGCCAACAGAGGAGGCCATGTTTTATGAATTGATGTGGCTACAAATATTAGCTCTGACATTTTTTAAGTGAAAAATGGCAGAAAAGATACAGAAGCAAATAAATATAGAGTCTCTGACAGCCAGCAGAGATGGAACCCTTTCTAACAATTATGACCAAAGGTATGTGTGTGTGTGGTAGTTTGGTTTATACTTGCTTGAATGCTGTCCTTGTTCTTTTTTTTTTTTTTTTTTTTTTTTGGTAGTTCTTGCACCAAGTGACTGATGGCTTCCTCCAAAACAATGTCAGCAGGACAAGGATGTATTGGCAGGGTATCTTTTGAATCAGTAACCCCATACTGATCCTTGACCTAATTAACAGTCTGCTATAGGCATCTTGCAGTTTACTGCTACTGCTATCGCAACATCAAGAAAATGTTGAAACTTAAGCACCCATAAGAAACTTAAGGGGGTGTCCCACTCAAGTCATTATAAATTCAGTTTTATTATGCTAAAATTGTGTGAACTATAGTTCACACAATTCAGGCTGGCTGGAAGCCTGAATACTACATTGTTTTATATTATACCACATTTATTGGAAGAGTTGGTTTGCTTTTAAAGGAATCCATCACTATTAGTTTCATGGCGTATTTAACATCTGGTCAGGTCAGTTCAATACTTGGAAATGTTTTGATACTTGAAGTTTCCAGCAGATTTTAACACATGCCTTTGGATGTAAGTAAACACCTTTGTCCACAATAAATAAAATGTAACTGAGCAAATGAAACTGTCACAATGCTTTGAAAACTGTAGCATACTGACCAAATCTATGCCATGATTTTACCTTCTACTGATGGAAAGAAAAGTAACTTTGATTATTGCAATCTGGGCAATTCACTTATGTTATCTTATTTAACTTTCATGAAAATCTTCATATAGTAGCTATCATTATTCCATTTCAAAATGGGAACAGAAGCTTAAAAATGGAATAATTTAAAGACATACAACCTAGAAGAGGCAAAGCTTCTGAATACAACAGCTATCTAACTCCAAAGGTCTTGGTTCTTATAAGAATCCATTCTGTTTTATGTCTGTGATTGTAAGCTTTTAGCAGTTTCTCTTCTTCTATTTCTTTTTTTTTATATTTTTTATTATACTTTAAGTTTTAGGGTACATGTGCACAACGTGCAGGTTTGTTACATATGTATACATGTGCCATGTTGGTGTGCTGCACCCATTAACTCGTCATTTACATTAGGTATATCTCCTAATGCTATCCTTCCCCCCTCCCCCCTCCCCCCACCCCACAACAGGCCCTGGTGTGTGATGTTCCCCTTCCTGTGTCCAAGTGTTCTCACTGTTCAATTCCCACCTGTGAGTGAGAACATGCAGTGTTTGGTTTTTTGTCCTTGCGATAGTTTGCTGAGAATGATGGTTTCCAGCTTCATCCATGTCCCTACAAAGGACATGAACTCATCATTTTTTATGGCTGCATAGGCCTAGAAAGGTGCAGAAACTGCTTTCAATTCCTGAAGGGACTTGTCAGGCAAAATAAACATACTGAAAATAGCTTTGACCATTTCTAAATCCTTTCCTGGATCAGAGTTGGAGGTTGCTCCTACATTCATACGCATTGCTGATGGATTCTCATCAATGGCCCCTACTTCTGGGTTGGCTGAGATCAATAAATCTTAGCAGTTTATAAATGGAAGAAATGGCTTTACATATCTTGTTTCCTGAATCCCTTTGGATATTTTAAAAGAGGTGATTAAAGTAAATTTATGTTTCTGCAGATGCATGTAAAGCTAATTGTTTTAATAACAGTATAATTGGCGAAAGGAAGTTATGTGTAATAAGAAACAAAGCGTACCACTTCCAAAATATTCACATTAGACATTTGTTAAATTTGCAGTGAGTTTCAGCATACACACATACACAACACAGACCATATGTGAACATTAGGAAGATTGATTTGTTTAAAAAATCCACTTCTACACCACATAAGTAATATTTCTTACTGAGAGTCACTGAAGTGAGGAAGAAAAATAACCACATAACGGGAAAAGAAAAACATTAAATTTAGTTATATTGTATATGTTTTGTGTTTATTAGTTTTTATTAATTGTAGGCATGCAGGTAAAAAAATCGCCTCATTTGAAAATTAATAACCCAGGGCACAAACTATTAATTAAGGCATATAGCAAATGCCTTTTAAAAGTATTTTATACTGGCTGGGCATGGTGGCTCCGCCTGTAATCCCAGCACTTTAGAAGGCCGAGGCAGGCAATCATGAGGTCAAGAGATGGAGACCATCCTGGCTAACATGGTGAAACCCCTTCTCTACTAAAAATACAAAAACTAGCCGGGTGTGGTGGCGGGCACCTGTAGTCCCAGCTACTCGGGAGGCTGAGGCAGGAGAATGGCATGAACCCGGGAGGCGCAGCTTGCAGTGAGCGGAGATCGCACCACTGCACTCCATCCTGGGTGACAGAGGGAGACTCCATCTCAAAAAAAAAAAAAAGTATTTTATACTTAAGTTTTTCTAGCTGCTAGTTTAAGAGAGATGAGAATACATTCAAAGAGCAGGGAAAGGAGAGTGTCTGAACAGAGGAATTTCTAAAAATGAGTACAGTATTAACACAGTTATCCTTACAATAGCCTGAGGTCAGGACTATTGTTTTCTCCACATTTTGGATGAAGGGACTGAGACACAGAGAAGTTAAGTAACTTGTATAAGATAGAGAAGAGACAGACATGAAACTGTTATAAAAAGGAAAGAGACAGGAAAAGAGGAGAGGAGAGAGAAAGAACAAAGCTTGGATGGCAAGTTAACTTAGGTCATCTACCTTTGAAATTCAAGTAGTCTGTAACTTTTGCCATTACATTTAGAGGCACCCTCTGTGACACGGTCATAGAATACTGGTTCACTCTTAGGCATTCAACAAATGCCTATTGAGTGTCAGTCATTTATTCAACAAACATTTACTGAATGTCTAATTAAGTAGCAGATATAGTGCTAGTTACTTGAGCTACATTGCGGAGACAGGGCCTCTTTGAAGAGCTTGTGCTTCCTCTCCATGAATGCTAGATTCATGCTTTCCACCTAAACCCTACTTTTGGAAATCAAGAAAAGTTCACCTCCTTCATGAGACTTCTTGGATTAACCCCATAGTCTATTTTCACCTAGAAATAGAACCCTGTTTTTGAGTCATGCACGTTGCCAGCTGGGATAAAAGGCTACATTTCCTAGTCTTATACCTAGGTGAACCCATGGGTCTCAGGTCAATGGGATGTAAATAGGATTTGTATGAGAATTCTGGGACATCCTCCAAGAGAGCAGATTCAGCTGGCAGGAAAGGAATTTGCTTTCTGATATGGTTTGGCTGTGTCCCCACCCAAATCTCTACTTGAACTGTAGCTCCCGTAATTGCAGGAGGGACCTGGCAGGAGGTAATTGAATCATGGGGGTGGGTCTTTCCTGTGCTGTTCTCGTGATAGTAAATAAGTCTCACAAGATCTGATGGTTTTGCAAAGGGGAGTTCCCCTACACATGCTCCCTCTTTCCTGTCGCCATGTAAGACATGCCTTTGCTCCTCCTTCGTCTTCCGCCATAATTGTGAGGCCTCCCCAGCCATGTGGAATTGTGAGTCCATTAATACTCTTTTCTTTATAAATTACCAAGTCTTGGGTATGTCTTAATTAGCAGCATGAGAATGGACTAATACACTTTACTACCTATCCTCCTCCTGGCCTGGAATAACATCACTGGGTGGGTGGAGTTTCAGTCACTGTCCCAGGACAGGAGGTGGCCTGGAGAATGGAGGCCAGTGCTTAGGTGTGGAGTAGAAGAATATAAGGGGCTTGCATCCCTGATGACCTGAAGGTCCCATTTCAGCCCTCAAATAGCCTCTTTCTGGATTTATTTCATTTGAGAGAGAAGCAGTTACATGAAGTTTGTTACTTTGTTTGAGAGATAAATGCAGTTATATTAGGTTTGTTAATTTTGTTTTGTTTTTGTTTTAGTTGTATGATGCTAAATCCAATTCTAATTGATATACCTCCTTCATAAGATAATTTTATAAACCCCTGGAAGGAAGATTGTTCATTGGGCTTTGGCAGGCAGTGACCTTAAAACTAGGAAAAACTGAGCTTTAAGGGCCCATGAAAGTCCTTGGCTTGTGGGTTTGCTGGCTCTTTGCTAGAATTATATTTTGTTTTTTTCTGGTTCAGGGTACCGTAACAGAAGGTGGGAAGCTATATTTTTCATGAAACTGATTGCTTTTCTAATTAACAATCTTGCTAATAAAGCACCACTGTACAGCAGATATAGTGTTTTTAATGTCATGGATATTGTACCTGAAAGTAAGTGAAGAAGTGTCAGATAGTTTCTGCCAATATTTGAGCAGTCTTAGTTCTAACTGCTACAATTATGCAAGGTATTTGTCTTAGAAGAGCAATGGCCATTTGAGTAAGACTTTCCATATGGTGTTCCACAGTCACTGGGAGAAAATGGGCCTTTTTTTTTCCTTAGTGAGGTGATCCTCTCCTTCTTTCTCTACAAAGTAATGTGGAGTTTGGAATGAATTCTAATGAGTGAATAATAGGAAGATTTTGCATACTCATTTGGACAAGATAAACACAACAGCATGGTTAAAATTCTTGAGATGAAAGGCTGAGTTTCTGTAGCTTGAATTTTAGATGATAAATATCAAGAATCTATTTGAAGGTCAGCTATCACAAATATAATTTTTCTCTGGCAACACTTGGGTAGCTTTCCTTGGCAAATTTTACTCAAAAAGAAGATAAATTATTTCTGCCTCAACTTTTTCTTTTACCTCTCTTCTTCTTTCTCTTTATTCGATTGTTTGCCTTTGAAAGTCTGGCTTTCATTGCATCATTAGACAGAATTGTGTGACCATTCCCAAAGAGATTGACAGTGTTCATGGCAGGCTGTATAGGAATCTTTCTGTGTGCAGGCTGGTCTACAATTTAGCATAATAAAGATCTGGCCTTATATTCATAGGATCTAGCCAGGAAAATTAGTCTTACCTCAGGGTTTAAAGAAATGAGGGTGTGTCCCAGAGGGATCTGTCTGTGGCCAGCAGGAAATTTAATTTTAAAAACTGAAGAATATACAATAGTTCAGGCACTGAATAATTTGAGCCTGCGAAGGTGCTTCTGCCACATATATTATCATAGTGTTAGTAAGGCCAGGAAGGTCTGAAGTTTGTATGAGTTCACAGATATTTTGAAAGACTCATGCAGGTATTTTTGATATGATTCCATTTTAAAATCACATTGTCTGTGATGTGTATTTATGGCATTATCTACCACATGTGTTTGTCCTGTAGAATTTACATTACAAAACCTTCTCTGATCAATAATTGACGATGAGTGACTGTAGTAGTTTGGGAAATAACTTGCTTTTTACTCTTTTGTCACCTGCTTCAATATAGTTCCTGCTGTTTGATGAGAATTGACTGAGCTGGAGCCTGCAAAAGTAACTGTAGTCAAATTAGTTACATTAAAGGGTCAAAATTATAGCTGCGTGGAGCTAAGGTCATGGCAGAACCAAAGAGCTCTGGGCACAGATCTTCCTTTCATGCTCGACTGGGTCCAATAATCCCCCGAGGCTCAGGTCTCTGATTGCATTTCCAGATGGTCTCCTCTGGTGTAAACACCACCCGCGCTCTGTCCAACAGCATAAGCTACCCTGGCAGAAAGCAAAACAGCAGGTCAGGGAGCCCTGGGAATTACACAGTGGGTGGCACCTGTTGCCAAATTTTGACCTCTCTCATCCCCTACGTTATATACCCATGATATTTTCAACTTACCCCTTTCCTTTGGTATTTGCAGGGCAAACTCTCTAGTTTCTTAGAATAAAGCCAGCTTCATCCACTCCCCTTCCTAATCTCCATATATTCTTCAAACTGGTGCTTAGATTTCCTGGCTATCTTGCAGATGAATTCTAATATCTACTAGTCAGTAGAATGCATTTGTGTACTTACACACTTATTATTCAACAAATGCCTATTGAGTGTCAGTCATTTATTCAACAAACATTTGCTGAATGTCTAATTAAGTAGCAGATACAGTGCTAGTTACTTGAGCTACAATGCGGAGACAGGGCCTCTTTGAAGAGCTTGTGTTTCCTCTCCATGAATGCTAGTCTCATGCTTTCCACGTAAACCCTGCTTTTGGGAATCAAGAAAAGTTCACCTCCTTCATGAGACTTCTTGGATTAACCTCTCTCAGATCTGAGCAGGTTGTCCTTCTAGAATTGTCTTAATGCATACATTTGCAGTCCCTTGTAACCTTGTTAGACTGCTTCTTTCATGTAGATGTTTTAAATTTTTCATAGTGTGTTGTGTACTTGTTCAAACGCAAACTCCCCAAGAGAGATTCACTTCTGGCACCTTCATTTTTGCTTTTCATTTCCCCTAATACATTGCTGGACACTTAATTGGTGTTCAATAAACATGGTGAATTCATTTAACAAAAGTTATTTTGCACCTACCATGCTCACGGCTACAAATGGACAGCATTATCACAGCAACTGGACATTACATAGCATGCGGAATGGCAGATGGACAGACCATATCTATAATATACTTGGGTAAAATTTTGAATGTTTATTAGAATTTCATCCACTGTCTCATGTCTTATAGCTACAAGTTAATTTCCAAATTTGAATATGTCCATACTTGTTTATTAAAAAGCTGGGGACGATACTCTGTGAGGGTTTCTAAGGAGCATTTGATAAGGTGTAAAACCACTATAGTCTTGGATTCTTCTCATTGCTGAGCAGAATGGGATGTGTCCTGCAGCAGGTTGAGTGGCTCTATGTGGTTTTATGACCATACGTAGGAACCTGCTTCTTCTCTTGAAATGGCTGTTTTGTTTTATGGAGATTGGCTAGACTGGCAGGTGACAAGGCAAGAGGTGGGCTGGCCACGAGAGCCAGCTGAGCAGTGCGAGTTGGTGTGATTCAGCCATTTGTCACCACCATATTCTGCCATAGATAGATATTTTCTATTCGAGAAAGTGGATCAAATTTCACTGTACACCACTTTCTCACTAGGCTAGAAATACATGAATGGTGGGGCATAGTTCACTCCAAATCTGATCCATCTAAACTTTTCTTTCTGGTGAGTTGATCTGTTTTGAGATTTTACACTTTACATAAAAATAGTATAGCAGCCACTCTTTGCCAGTCACAAACCACCTTTAGCTGAGAGTATTATCATATCAATTGTTTCAAGGAAATGACAAATGAGTAGTTACCAAAAAAAGAATGAATGAATGAATAAATAAATAAACACAAGGGAATGAGTTGTTACTAGACAGAGAAGAAAAAGATTGCTTGGCATGTCCCAATTTGGTTATTGAAAATTTTTATTTTTGATGCAGTGCTCTTCTTTTTTCCTTCCTTCCTTCCTTCCTTCCTTCCTTCCTTCCTTCCTTCCTTCCTTCCTTCCTTCCCTCCTTCCCTCCTTCCCTCCTTCCCTCCTTCTTTCCTTCTGTAACTTAACACCTATTTGATTTTTTGAAAACATTTTTTATTAGATGCTTAGATCAGCTGGGACAACTTAAATTGCAAGCTACCAGAAATATCATATTAAACTAACCAGTGAAGATGACAGTTTGGATCATGGAGGTAGGGTTGATTTCAGCTGAGGTTTGCTTTAGCAGTTGCAACACTGTGATCAAGATCTGCCTTCTCTCCCTCCATTTCAATCTAGTTTCCTGGCCTTGGCTCTATTCTCAGCAGGTCTTGTCTTCCTGTTCCTAAATTGGCCATGAGCATCTCATTCCTTATTCTAATCCAACAGGGATTATACCTGTTGGTATACCTACTCCTCCTACTTCCTCCCTTAGTCTGTGGGGGAAAAAAAAAAGAAAGAAAAGAAAAGAACTTCTGAGCTTCAATGTGATTAGGTCATATGCCTATCACTGAACTGATCCCTGTGGATAGTGATGGGATTTTGCTGATAAGTCTCAGTCTCAGCCCCTCCCCCAATACCACCATCCACTTTACAGCTGTGGCTTCACTCAACTTCCCTTGAAACACTGTATGGAGAGGAATGGATGCCTAAATGACAACTTGGGTGTCATTACCAAGAAAAAGGGAACTATATGCAAGACAGTCAAAAACTAATTAAATGTCCTCTCTAAGGTTTCATTTTTAAGATAGCACAGAGTTTGCTGCTGCTCCTCCTCTTTCTTCTTTTTTTTTTTTGAGACAGAGTCTCACTCTATCACCCAGGCTGGAGTGCAGTGGCATGATCTTGGCTTACTGCAACATCCGCCTCCTGAGTTCAAGTGATTCTCCTGCCTCACCCTCCTGAGCAGCTGGTATTACAGGCACACACCACCATGCCCGGCTAATTTTTTTTGTTTTTAGTAAAGAGGGGGTTTCACCATGTTGGCCAGGCTGGTCTTCAACTTTTGGCCTCAAGTGATCTGCCCCCGTTGGCCTCCCAAAGTGCTGGGATTACAAATATGAGCCACCGTGCCCAGCCCACATTCTTCTTAAAGGGTTTGAGATTTTTTTTGGAAATTACAGGGCATATAGCTTTGTGCTTTATTCAAAATGTCATAGAGCTTCAAACAGTTCTTCCTGAGACAGATGTAAAACAATTTTAAGATTTCTGAGAAGTAATTTATATATCCTTATAATAGTCATACCATGTGAAACCTGGCCTGCTAATAATAAGAAGAAACATCTGGAACTAGTGACAGGGTCAATTTTGGGTATTCTCTCTCTATGGAGAGGACTAGTTCTTCTGAGATTGATGTTGGCAGTTTGGAATCTTTTCCCAGTGGGAAGGAAGACTTAGAAGAGGATAGTTGATATTGCCTCTCCTCCCACAAGCAAGTTTCATCTTTATCACAGTTCCCTATGGCTATGCCATTTTGAGATTTGTATACAAACCCTGTACATTAGTGAGGGACTCACTCAGAGACCACCTAGACTCCAATCAGTATCCAGCCTTTAGGAGATGGCTTGACCTGGGCAGCTTCCCCAGTGATGGAGTTTACAAAGGATGACAATGACCATATTTTAAATCTGTTGTTACTCTCTTGCAAGACTCCTCTTTTTCTCTTGCTTGCTCTTCACCTTAGCACGTCTGTACACACCTGCCTTTGGTATAACTTGAAAGACAGCCCTAATTGAGGCATTCATCTCATACAATCCAAGAGTCAGGAACACAGCTTTTGGAAGGAATGCATTGTGGATTCTTCAGATGTGATTTAATGAATATCCAACTGTACTTAGGGACTAAAAAGAGCATTTTTAAATGAGATTTTGCTCTGAATTGGAAAGTAAGTTGAGGTGGGAAATAAGCCAGCCATTAAATGCTCTAGTTTTTTTTTTTTTTTTTTCTTGAGATGGGGTCTCAGTCTCACTCTGTTGCCCAGGCTGGAGTGCAGCAGCATGATCATGGCTCACTGCAACCTCCAACTCCCCATGCTCAGGTGATCCTCCCACGTCAGCCTCCCGAGTAGCTGGAACTACAGGCATGTGCCACTATGCCCAGTAAATTTTTCATAATTTGTAGAGACAGAGTTTCGCCATGTTGTCCAGGCTGGTCTCAAACTCCTGGACTCAAGCAGTCTGCCCACCAAAGCCTCCCAAAGTGCTGGGATTACAGGCATGAGCCATCGTGCCCAACCATAGATTTTTTTTTTCATAATGGCAGAGAATGGCTGCAATTTAGGGTCTTTCTTAGGTTCTTCCTCATCCATTTCTTGCAGAAAATTTAGTACTTTGTATTTCTTTCAATAATTTCAACAATTTTATCCTGACTTTTCCCAGAGCAAAAATTAGGATGGGGATGTTAGAGCTTCCTTTGAGCAGGCTATCATCGCAATGAAATCTTGACCTTGCCCCTTGTAGTTGCCTATTGCTTTATAAAACTTGTTATTGAAATTGCAAACAGTCCAAATTATATAGTAGTTTCTAATGTACTTTATCAGGGTGTCAGTTTTTCTTTTGCAAGTGTTTTGAGGAGATCAGATTGTTAATGAACATTCTTTGAGAATCTGAACCTGAGAACTGTCTCTTTAGGATGAAGTTACCAAGGACAGATGCAAAATTTGCAAAGATACGGTGTTCCAGCCTCCTCCAACAAAGGTTAACAACCACCCGAGAACCCCAGTGCCACTTACCTACCACCTCTTACCTTTGGAAGCAGATTGCCCAGTGACGGATAAGTGTGGAAACTGTTCAAAGATTGGGAAAGAAAATTGTTAGAAAAGGCACATAGAGAAGAGTGGGATTGGGGGCAAAAGGAGAAGGAGGATAGTCTTCTGTGTTTTTTTGATTGGTTAACTTAAAATCTCAGCTATTTGTTTACACAAAGGCTATGTTGATGTCCATATTCAACAGATACAGGTATTTGGCTCAGAAAAGCACATGGTTCCCAGACCATTTGCCAAATGTCCTATCCTTGTTCAGCTTTGGTTATTATGAATATCCTTCTGGAAGCAACTGACACCTAACATGTCTGAATCCTCTGGACCTGTAGAGTTCTTACCCCGGAGTGATTACAATTTCTGAAAAGAACATCCCTGCAAAATTAGCTTTCAAAATACGTGCAGATAAGCCCATAGAACTGGGAATTCCTCCAGGGAATTATATCCTAAGTAGCCTACTACAATGCTTGATTCCTTGGGCACCAGTGGTTGCTCAATAGGTTTTTTAATAATAAAAACTAGAAGGAAAGAACTATTGTTAGCTAAAGTTACCATGTAATAATTGGCTTGGGTATGTCCCTGCTTGTTTGAATTGCTTAATGTCTGTTCTTTGCACAGCAGAAACTCTTGTGCCACTTCCTGATTAGTCATCTTGGTCTTCTGTTTCCTGAGCTGTGCTCCATGATCTCGTGTAAATATATACAATTTGTGATAAAATCATCTTGCTCATTCCATAGCAGGTATAAGTGGGTTAATTCTATTGGGAAACAAGCTCAAATTTTAACAGAAGTTTTTCTTTGCTTCAAGGGAACGAGTTTCCCAACAGTGGGAATTTTAAGCATTTTGGCAAATCAATAGGGGAGATATTTTCAAACCAGCATGATTCTATTTGGCTCAGGTAAAAGTAAGCCCTTCTGGACTGGCTTGCAGGTGGGTTCTTGAGTCTTGGCTTATTTAAAAAGCTGCTGCCTGTTCTTAATAAATGCCATGATATGAGGCACCATGAACAAGCTGGATTTAAACCTGCCCTATCAATAATTTTACTCATAAGTTCTTGGCAAGTATGTTTGTTGTCTGCTGTCTGCCTGTCAAGGTTGTCAGTTAGCTAAGCATCAGCCAACCACATGATGCTGAGTCCCCATGATTAATCTGACTTGGTAATACTGTTCATCTATGTAAAGAATTGGAAAAAGTAGATCTCCCTTCATGCGTGTGCGCGCACGCGCGCACACACACACACACACACACACGCACACCAATTTGTTTAAAATAAAAAAAGATTAGACGAAAGCATAAAATCAGCCCTCTGGTCTGAAGCAATTAATCTGTAGAAGATGCTACATATGCTGGGTGTAGTGGCTAATGCCTGTAATCTCAGCAGTTTGGGAAGCTGAGGTGGCAGGATCACTTGAGCTCAGGAGTTCAAGACCAGCCTGGGCATCAACACAAGACCTTGTCTCTACTAAAATAATTTTCTAAGAATAGCTGGATATGGTGGTGTATGCCTGCAGTCCCTGCTGCTCTGGAGGCTGAGGTGAGAGGATTGCTTGAGCCCAGGAGACTGAAGCTTCAGTAGGCTATGATCACATCACTACACTCCAGTCTGTGTAACAAAATGAGATCCTGTCTCAAAAAATTTAAAAAATAAAATGAAAAAGAAGATGCTACGTACATTATACACATATAAATTAGTAACCAAATGGTTTAACAACCTCAGTGATTGTGTTGTTCTGTAGTTTGATGACTTTTATCTTGCTCCTTCTCATTGCCATTGATTGTACCAGGTTATTTCCTGGAGCATGTTGTATATCAAGGTTTATGCAACTGTACATTTAACCTTTCAGTGCCTAGCTTTCCCCTTTTCCTATAGAATCACAAGAATTTGAAGGCAACACAATATGTTTTCTATCTTATAGTCTGAAGTTAATGCATATTAATGGCATGCTGCTATTACTAGTTAATACTGATGCCATGAGGATTAGATAATCATTGTAAAAAATGTTTAATAGAGCATTTTTTACAATACTTAGTGGATGCCAGTATACTAAATCCTTTATATATGCTTAGGTCTTTTATTTCCCACAAATCTGTGAACTAGGAATTATGAACGCATTTTACAAAACAGGACTCGTTGCATAACTTGCCAAGTCACACAGCTAATGAACAGGAGAGTCAGAACTTGAACTCAGGGTTGCCTGCCTCTAAAGTCCTCCACTAATTCTCATTCATTCTGTAAAAATAGAACATGGCCTCTAGAATCTCGTCATTTAGAAAAGAACAGCCTTTTGGAGATTGGTTAGCTGGTTTGAGAACATGTAGTTTGTTTATCTGTGTCTTTGACTAGTAATAACGTTCAGCCTCATTAAATCTAGTAAGCTAAAAGGAAGCAGGAAATGGCTGTAGTATAGACGCTTGATATTTCAGCGATGATAATGATGGATAATAATGTGATTTCACAGCTTGGGTTATCAGACCCAGGTGAGTGGATAAGTGGATTCAGATTCATTAAAATCACCGGGCCTAGTTTGTGGCCTTCCTTTCACAAACCCCTTAGGCTGCATATTACCCTTTAATAGCATATTTTTCCCATTATAGTTGCCCTTGCTATTCATTTCAACCACATTACAAGTATAAACATGTACAAGGGAGAGGACAGATGTCCTTCCCTTCTGTATTAACTCTCTTGTTGTATGAAATAATGTTATGTATTAAATTATTGTCTCAGTTTATAGAGTCTGCTAGACTGTGCTGTTCAGTAGAACTTTTTGGGATGATGGAAATGTTCAATGTCTGTACTGTTCACTAAGGTAGCAACTAGTTACCTGTGTTAGTTGAGCGAGCACTTGAGATATGGATGATGAAACTAAAGAACAGATGTTTAAGTTTATTTAACCCATCTAAATTTAAATGTAAATACCCACATGGCTGGTGGCTACCTTATTGGACAGCAGAGATTTAGAATAGTAAAGCTGAATGGACCTTAGAGTACATGTAAGGCAACACATTCTTTTTATTTTAGAGGAATGTAGGACTCAGAGCATGAAAAGGAGTAAAACCAAGCCTAGGATCCTGGTCTCTTGACTTCTAGTTCATAATTTCTTCCACTAAACTTAAAATTGTTAAAAATGTTACTTTGAACTTTAGTATTTGAAGATTATCGTGGTAAGACTTTGCTTATATTTACAAAAGCATTGTAACAGAAAATAAATTTTGAATTACAACTGTGACTTTATCATATTTATTTTACATTTTATGATTGCTAAATAGGTCATATATTGACGTCTTTACATATTTGTTGGGAGCAAAAGAGTTGAAAGTAAAGTTTTCTTCCCATCTATGTTATTTAGCCATTGATTCCCCTCTCCAAAGGGATCAGTAATAGTTTCTTTGTGTATCTTTTTAAACATTCAGATATATTAAGTATTTAAAACTGTGTATTGTTCTCTCATCTTTTTAAACAACTGGTAGGATATGTACACTACACATTCATATTTTTGCATTAAACTTATATGTGGAGATCTTTTGATGTGAGTACACAAAAAGGGTACTTTAAAACAGATACATAAGCTTCTATTGCACGTACCAACTGTAGTTTAATGCATCCCTATCGATGAATATTTACTTCCTTTCCAAAGTTTTCTCTTAAAAGTAATGCTGTAGAGAATAACTTTGGACACATAACTTTCATGTGTGCAAATACATTATAAGATAATTCCTAGAAATGAATGCACTAGGTCAAATAGTATATACACATTTTAAATTTTGATAAATATTATAAATTGCTCTCCATAGAGTCACAGCATTTTATATTCTCACTGACAATCTGTAATCTCTATGCCTTCATCAACCTAGTGTGTTACCAAACTGATCAATTCATACCATTCTGACAGGTGGAATAAAATCTCAGTGTAGTTTAAATGTACATTTTTAAAAATTGTGAATGAGCTGGGCATCTTACATATATGTAAGGGCCATTTGTATTTTATTTATTGTGAAATATGTTTGTATGCTTTGTCCATTTCCATCAGTTTTTAAAATTGACTTAGAGGAGCTTTTATATATAAGACAAAATATGACATATATGGTAAACAAAATGCAAACATTTTCTTCAGTTGTTTGCCTTTTTCACTTTGTTTTTCATGGTGTTTGCTATGGAGAAAATATAAATTTTTACATAAACAGATATGCCAATCTTTCCTTTTATAGCTTCTGGTTTTTTGAGTCAAAAATTGAGAGACCTTCCTCATTCTGAGAGTATAAAATAGTAATTATTTTTAATTTTAATTAATTTATTTTTATTGACACCTAATAATTTTGCATGTTTATGGTTTACCATGTGATGTCCTAATACATGTACATATTGTGAAATAATCAAATCATGGTAATTAGCATATCAATCACCTTAAACATTTATCATTCCTTTGTTGTGAGAACATCCAAAATTCTCTCTTCTGGCTGCTTGTTGGCAGTAGTCACCTTACTGTTCAACAGAGTACTAGAACTTATTCCTTTCTATGTAACTATATCTGCTGACCAACCTCTTCCCATCTCCCACTCCCTCCTATTCTCCCTAGTCTCTGGTAACTACTGTCCTACTTTCAACTTCTATGAGATCAGTTTTTCTAGATTCTACATGAGTGAGATCATGTTGTATTTTTCTTTCCATGACTGGTTTATTTCATTTATCATAATGTCCTCTAGCCTCATTCACATTGTTGCAAATGGCAGGATTTTATCCTTTTTGTGGCTGAATAGTATTCCATTGTGTATATGTACTGTGTTTTCTTTATCCATTCATCCCCTGATGGACACTTAGGTGGATTCTGTATTTCACTATTGAAAATACTGCTGCAATAACATGAGCATGCAGATGTCTCTTCTATATACTGATTTCCTTTCCTTTGGATATATACCCAGTAATGGGATTGCTGGTTCATATATTTTTAACATTTTGAGGAGCTTCCATACTGTTTTCCACAATGGTAGTACTGATTTACATTCCCACGAGCAGTGTATAGGAGTTCCCTTTCCTTTACATCCTCGCCAGCATAATAACGATTTTAATATATTTGGAATTTATTCTAAAGATGTAAAGTATGACTCAGACATCATTTATTAAGCAATCCATCTTTTTCCCAGTTATTTGAGATCCCACCTTTATCACATAAAAATTTTAATATATCTTTGAGTCAACATCTCACTTTGTAGTCTCTTCCATGGAATCTGCCTATTCTTGCCTGTACCACCTGTTTTAATTATTTTAGATTTTATAGTGTACTTTAATATATTGAAGAACTATTCTCTCATTGCTGCATTTCTTTTTTAGGCTGTTCTTCACCACTGTTACTTGTTTATATTTTGTATGAAATTTAGATTCAGCTTGTCTATTTCAAAAACAATTTCTGTTGGTATTTTTAGTAGGATCATATTAAAGTTCAAGATTGATTTAGAGACTTTCGAAAAGCATTGAATCTTTCTATCTGGGAACATGATATGCCTTTCCATTTGTTTAAGCATTCTTTTATGTTTTCTGTCAGTGTTTAATGGTTTTCCTCCAATAACTTTTACCATCTATAATTTAGCTTATTCCTACATTGTTCTTTTTTATGTCTTCAAAATGGGCCTTTTGCATGTATGCATCAAAGCTATTGACTTGTATTGATTAACTTGGGCCTCTTCTAAATTTTTTCACTTTAGAAAAAAAATATTTTAGCAATTGGTTATTTTATGTTTTCCAAAGACCTAAATATAAATGTACAGGTGATGAACTGCACTTTTTCCTTTGAAATTTGTATGCCTTTACTTTCTTTCTCTGATATAATTGTATTCACTATTTCCTCCAGAACTAGTTAAACTAGAGTAGAAATTTTTGGCATTTTTTTGGTTCCTAATCAAAGTTGGAAAAACAGACTTTTCCCTTGAAATGTAGTGCTGGCATTTAGGTTGAGATAGAAATATTTCATTATATGTTTTTAATCAAGAATGGATTTGAATTTCATCAAATACTGTTTAAACATCTATGATAATAATTTGAGGTCTCCATAGGTTTATTAATATCATAAATGAACTATTTTAGCCTTATAACTTTAAAAGCCTTATTCTTTTAAAGTTTTATTCATTCTCCTCCCATTCTTGTTCACTATTCGTTGCCCATTCTTGTTCTATATAAAAACCCCAGTGGTCCCTGCTGTGAATTCAATGACATCTTATTTCTTTTCCTTAAGTCAGAGCAAATGTGCACATCAGAAGAGCAAAGTGTCAAGTAATGATAGCTGGAAATTGAGCCACAAATAAACAGAAAATATTTTCTTCATTGTTATTTGTGTGTATGCTTGTGCTTCTTTTTTTCAAGGGAGTAGACCACTGTTCCACATGTTCCACAGTTGTTTTATGGTGGAATGCTCTAGTTATGGAAAAGGAGAATGGAGTCTAGCCGTATAAAGTTACTAAACCTGCTTGGATATGAGTCAAGGGTATCCTTTTTGTGCCCAAACTAGAAAACCTTTCCCCTTCTCATATTTTTGAGCAAGGTGTTTTATGTTGCAAAGTAGCCCACTGTCTCTTTTCAACTGCATAAGCCCAAATAACATTTTATATTCCAGTCAGTCACAAAATGAAAACAGGAAACGTCTTTGAAGCAAGGCAAAAATGTCAGAGTGTCTAAAACATAGAAGTACTTGGTGAAACACTTTCAGCGTCTTAGCTCTGCCTCTGGCTAGTCATTTCCACTCGCTGGGCTCAGTCAGGTCTTTCATTAGTGAAACAGAGGTGGCTGAGCACTTCCTGTGAAATCGCAGGGACAGGATTGTGGCCCTCTGGAGAGGGGGCCAGGAGGAAAAGGAACCAGACAGCTGGTTTTCGGGAGCCACCAGATGGGAGCAAATTTCCAAGGCTGCTGAGAAGAATGGTCTAGAATAACAGAATTGTTTTGTGAAGGAGCCTTCCTAAACCAAATGTTCTGAGCGTCCCCGCAAGCAGAGCAAATGAGCACATACTGTGTTCATGGGGAAAAGGACAAATGACTGTACAAATGGAGTAACAAACAATTTACGAAAATGTATGTGGCCTAAATTTAGTATCAAGGTGATGGGCAAAATGACTTACACCAATTTGTGACGGTCCTGTTGCAAATTCAATGACAAAGCCAGCCAGTCTACCTAGTCCATAGTATCCAGCAGATATATCAGTGGAGATGGCCCGAGTGCAGGCTGCTTAAATAAGATAAATCATCTGTGAAGAAGGAAAAGGTCAAATGTGCTATTCTCTGTCTTTTTTTTTTTTTTTTTGGTCTGAATTAAATGGAAACCATTACAATTTCTTCCAAGAAAATAAAAATCAGCACCTACAATAATGCTGTCTCCTTCTGACCCTGCCAAGTCTGACTGCATTCCACCTGGACCCTGCCTTTGTCTCTCATGTTTTTATCCAAGAATAAGTAGGCTACCTTGTAGTAAACAGGAAATCTTACTCTTACCTCGCACTAGTTAGTTATGCGTGGTACTTGATCCATAATCTTCTGCCCCCATGTCATAGAAGATAGGTTTTTCCAACTCTCAGATGGAAAATCACTAGTGCACTACACACACACGCACTCATGCTCAGAAATATTTTCACAGATCCATTTTTCTCTGTGTGACGGAGGTTACATAATTATATCAGTGGATGTCCTGCAGTCCAGCTGGTATATGTAGAGCAACTGCATGTTTGTATCACTCTGTTAGGTGCAGTGTAGGACACAAATAAAGAGAGAGAAGGGAGAGAACACTGCCGAGTCATTAGGGGCATGCTTTCAGTTCCTATACAGCCAAGTTTTTTTTTAGGCTTGGCCTATGCTTTTTTCTTAGTTTGGGTTTAGTATGTATTCATTCATTCATATTGCCATGTGTGTTCAACAAATATTTTGGGATGCCTGCTCTGTGCCAGACATTGTGCTAGGTTAGAGGGATGCAAAGACAAATTAGAACTCCTTTTCTCAAGGAGACTTCTGGTTATTGTATTTGTGATAAAGTTTTAAAGTTACTATACTTTGCCTGCCTAGAATGTAGTTGGATCTCAAAAGAATTACTGAGGGTTGGAGGTTTGAGTGGCAGAAGAGCAATGATTGATGAAACAGAGTTTTGAAAGATGAGTGGCCTATTTGTCATGGAGGTAGGAATGGGGGGTGGGTGGGCTTCTGGAGAGACACAGCAGAAGTGTAGAGAAGACCATGGTACTTGTAGGGAACTTCTGTGGTTTAGAGTGAGATGGATCTTGCAAGAGCTCAGGCTGGAGACTGAGAAAATGCTAAGTCATGGGGGGTCTTACACAACATTCTAGAGAATTTAGACTTTCCCCTGTAGACACTGAGGGGCCGTGAACAGCATTTGTACCTCTGCAAGATTTTTCTGGCAGAGACATGGAAAATGGTTTAGAAGGTGAAGATAAGGAGCTCAATTAGTGGGCTATTTAAAGTGTGCAATCCACAGATAAAAGGCAAAAACAAAACCTGAATCAGAAGAGTATACCAGAAAAGGGTGCCAGCCTATTATATATGGCAATTTATGATTTATTTAACATTGAAGGAAAAAACAGGCCTTCAAAAATAATAAAATAAGAAGGTGCTAGCTATTTACCCCTATAACTTCAGGTACAAGAAGAATATTTTTATTTTACTGAGCTCCTCAACTGATTTAAAAAATTAATACTCATACCAGATTGTAAATAATTCAAGGAATCATAGCCCCTTCCTTACTTTTTTTACATTTGTAAGATTTAAAGAGTCATACACCCAGATAACATCAGGCTGCAGAGTTTTAGAGACCAACTCCTTCAGTGATTTTTCAAGATGAGAATGTTCTCCATGTTCTCCTGCAGAAGCTTCTCTGGGAGCCCCAATATGTACAAGAGACAGAGGTAGACCACTGGCTGTGCCTTCCCTCCTCCTCCTCCCCATTCTACTCAGCTCTGAATTGCAGTTGCATAGTTTGCAAACTTAATGTTGTCAAACCTTGTTATTCCATAATGGGGGCATAGTTGTGCAAACTGGAAGTGATTGATTTACCCAGGGACAGAAGACTTGGTTAATAGTAGAAAAGGATCCCTAGGTTCCCTAATTGTTGGACAATTGCTCTTAGCAGTTTTGGTTAACCTGGTTTTTATCTGGCTTCTCAGTAGAGATGATTCTTTCATAAGATCACCTGCACACAACCAGCTACTCATATATTTGCTTATATGTGTCATATCTGATTTATGTACATTTTCTGTAGACAAGCTTGTTTTAGGTCATGTACTTATTACTTACTAAGTGTTTGTTTTCTCCATACTTGGGGATCTAAATTAGTAAGCAACAAACTGACTTGGTGGGTTCAACTCAATAATATCCAATGAAGCCATTTCTTCCCATTCCTAAATCCTAATTTAGCTGTGGGAAGTTTGGATCAATGGAAATTAAACTCCATATATGCCAACACTATGGGTTGATAACCTCTTCCAAGAATCATTGCCTGACCATCATGTTCCTTCTACCTGACCACTCCTTCCTGCACTTTTATCACATATTACTCTAAGGGATCATGTCTAACTTTTTGTCTTCCTCAATTAGACTATTTCTTGAGGCCAGGAAATGCATCATTTTATCCATAGCATCTAACTCAATATCTAATGTGTAATAAACTCTTAATAGAAATTTACTTAATAACTAGATAGATAGTTTAAGATATGCCCTTGATGTAGTCAAGAAGACAAAATGTATGGGTACATTTCCTTCTTGTGTCTGGTTCCTCTTTCTGCATTGTCAGGGCAAGTTTTACCCTCTAATTTCTTGTGGACCAGCAGCTGTCTTAATTGACAGTCCCACCAAACCCTGGATTTCATAGGATGTCCCAGACAATGAGAAATGGCTTGAAGATAGAAAATTGTCTGTGTCTTAAAATAATCTTCTATAAATTATGCGTATTAACACAGATATGTAGCAAACTATAAAGGTTATTTTGCTCTGAAGAGGAATTCAGAATTAGAACTTGGATGTAGCAGGACACCTCTGTTCTCATTGCCATAAAGAAAAAAAAAACACCTTTTATATTGAATTTCAGTGAACCTTGCAGCCAGCATCTGTCCCATTAATTTTCATATACGAGAACAATGTGGCATGATTACTCACCAGCAACAGAAGTAGCAGTTTTATAAATCTTATGTTGTAGTGGCTGGAAGGGACAGGGTTGTGCTCTCATTGTTTCCATATTCTTTGTGAAATTCACCTTTGCAGGGGGTGGTTTGCTCTTTCTCTTCCAGATGTGCACAGAAATATGCCATGTCACTAAACGTCATGTGGCTTAACATTTCTCCAATTTTCAGCTAATCTACTGAGAAAGTAGTAATTTTTTCTGACTAGTGGTGGCCTACTTCTCCTATAAGGCTGTCTTTTACAATGAGGGAAGTTGGCCTCACTTTATTTATAAAGGTGCACCTAAGGCTGGTGCTTTCTGGTTCTGGGGCTGCTTAATCCACCCTCTGTTTCATTTGATCCTATAGAGTTTGGGGGAGGGCTGAACAACAGTTTCATTGACGTGATTCAGATTCAATTTGCTAAGAACCTGATTGTGTTTATGACATTAATAAGAAACACTTTAAGCCTTTTAATACGAATCCCCAGTCACTCTGCTTCTTCCCTTTCTACTGATGATACTTTGTGATCTACATAGTTTAAACTTTCATTACACAAGGAAACTTCTACTACCACTTGATGTGTGTGTGAATAGGCTATGGGGAAAAAAAGGTTCATTTTTGTTTGAGTTTTTTACTTTTCATAGGTCATTGTCAATGTGGTAAGTATGCTCTTTAGTGGGATGATCCAACACTAGGGCTTCATATTCAATATCATTTACAGAAATAGTAAATGTCAATAACAGCTAATGTTCATTGAGTGCTAATCTTCCAGGTACTGTTCAAAGAGTTTTACCTATTATCAACTCAATTCTCCCAACAGCCATATGATGTTGTTACTGTTATTATAGATAAAGCCACTTAGGCACAAAGAGATTAAGCAACTAGTTCATTGTTACAGAGTTGGAAATGGAAAGCCAGGTCCTAACCCAAATGCTCTGTTGCGCACTTCTCTGCTGTCTGCAGGTGGGATGAGAGGTGGGTGCTGAGCTGCCTCCTGTGGTGCTGTTTTGAAACCTGCCCATCCCAAAGCTAAGGGAGTATCGCTGTGCTAAAGGGTTCAGTCAGCAGCCTTGCCAGTTCGGAATCCCCTAGAACCACCCTCCATGCATGTCATGGGCAGCTCTCTGAGATTTCTGGTGCCTCTTACTGGCTTGTTAAGTTGGCAGATTTTTCTCCCCATTTGCTTCCTTCATTATAAAATTCCCATTTCCATTTTGCCTCTAGGTAGAAGCTCATGGAACTCAAATGGGAAATGATGATGGTGGATTTTCCTGCTGAAAAGATGTACCTCAAAAGGAAAAAATAGTGTATTTAACATGGAGAAATGAAATCCTCCGAAGGGAGCTTCATGAACTAAATTACCCAGAATGGCCTTACTGTCTGTTGTCAGCATTTTTCTGCTGCCCCTTTGAGCATCAGTTTACTCACTCATGTGTGGGTCAGCTCTACTCATCTGTGAAGGTAGATAATAAAACCTACCCCCAAAAGGTTGCAGTGAAGATTAAGTGATGTCATATTTTTAAAAATGCCTCTGTAGGCTCTGGTACATTCCAATGGCTTGGTGAATTTTTTTTTTTCCTTTTCCTTTTCCAAAGGGAATTAAAAAAAAATGAGAGTGAGTTTTGAGGATCCTAGAGCAAGTAATCCCAGCACTTTGGGAGGATCATGAGGTCAGAAGTTCAAGACCAGCCTGGCCAACATGGTGAAACCACATCTCTACTAACAATACAAAAATTAGCTGGATGTGGTGGCGGGTGCCTGTAGTCCCAGCTACTTGGGAGGCTGAGGCAGGAGAATCATTCAAACCCGGGAGGCGGAGGTTGCAGTGAGCTGAGATCACGCCATTGCACTCCAGCCTGGGCGACAGGGTGAGACTCCGTCTCAAATAAATAAATAAATAAATAAATAAATAAATAAATAAAACAGCAAAGCTTCTATGAATTCTCCTTTTAGCCCTTCATATAAGTCTATTCTTCAGGAGCCAGTTTATATTTTATGGTTAGATACACATATTAAATTATTGGTATGTCAGATATGATTCTATTAGTAGTCTCCAGGGTTCATAGCTTGTTAGGGAAAATCCTCCTAAAAAGAAGTTCTTTTTGTCTATTCTTCATTAACTTATTTCACTTGTAAAGCATTAAAATGGGTCCTCTTTACATATTATGTTGTTTTCTAAGGGACAAATACTAGTGGTTATTATTACAGTTCTTTTTTTCATGTTTGGTACTTCAGTGGTTGATTAACTGTTTCTTAATCCTGAAATGTGGAGGAGGTTTTTGCAAGTGGTTGTAGCCTGGTTTTGAATGAAGGTGAAAATGCTCTTTTTGTTAGCTCTAGATCAGCAGAGGTGAATAAGCATCATGAATTTAGGAGACTGGCGTTTTTTTTTACATAAAAGTTGCTTTGTTGCTAATTAGTAGATTAGAATTCCTTTAATTGCATTCTGACCAAAGACTTTTGGGTGTTCAGGAGGGCAAGTTAGCATGTGTTGCATTTGAATTTATACATTTGAGACACATTTTCTTACTGAAGCTGATATTCATGAAGCAGAAAAGATAAAAACTTGTACATACCTTTTTATTTCTTGATTTTAATGTTGAAGTTCTATTCTCAGAATGGATTTTATAGGCAACAATATGCACTTAAATTTATGATCTGTTTACGAGACCTCACTGTATTTTGACAGAGGTCAAAATAAGGGAAATCAATCTTGGTTCTCATTCCAAAGAGTTTTTTTTCCTGATATCTTAAAAAGGCTTTATTACATTATGTTGATATCCATGGCAGAGAGTTCCAAAGACATCCCCATGAAAGGGCTATAAATGTGAGGTTTGAAACCAAGGCAAGTCAAGCAGGGTAAGCAATCTTTTCACCCAAGGTTTTAAAATAACTGCTGATAAGACCTTCTCACAGATTTTCATTCATTTCTTCCTAGTTATAGGCAGGAAATTCTGAAAGCAGGTGAATTCTAAAATTACCTTATAACTTGATTTCAGAATATAGTTACACAAAGTGAGAATAACTCGATGAGGATGCTGTTTGGATCTTGAGTACTGTAAGTCCTGTGGTTTAATTGACGAGTTGATGGATTTCTTTTATGCCTAAATTCAGGCTGAAAGGCCTAAAGGCCACACGAGGCAGTTTATCACGAGCGCTATTCTCCGTTTTTATATTCTGGTTCATTACCAGCCCCTTCCTCAGTACTTCTATTTATATAATGTTGTTCTGGTCAAGGTTTATACTAAATCTCTTTTAACTTCAACATCCAACAAATATTTTTAAGGACTAATGTGTGCAAAACATTATGCTAGGTGTTTCCTAAGGCTTCAAATAACTTGGATGCCAGTTTTGGACTGTAAGTGCTCACAGGATAATAGAAAAATCTTGTTTGCAAATAACTGGAACATAATGTACAATGGAATGTGTCATAAGGGGAGTGCACACAATGCTGTAGGAATTCCAATGAAATTCACCCTCATCTTTCATTGTATTCCCTGTTATTTACCTCTCCTTAAAAGAAAGAACTATAAGAACTCTACATCTTTTAGTGGCGATTTCCTAGATAGAAAAATAATGAATATTAAACATGATGTGTTAGGATTGGTGAGGCTGAAGAAATTCTATGCATTTTGTCATTTAGTGAATATGTATTGACTGCCTGCCTATTCAGTGTCAAGCACTATAGGTGGTAATGTATCAAGAGGTTCATGAACTAATAATAAAGGGGCACCTCTGTATTTCACAAATATTTGCTGAATGAATGAACTCATTATATTTTATTCTCCTATGTGATTCCTAGATAAGTTCTGCTACCTAAAGGAAAGCACTTATGGAATCCAAGGTTTGGAAAGGGCTTGAAAGATCACATTAATAGGTTTCCCTTTTATTTGCCTTTTTGAATCTCAATATGGAATAACTTTGACTTATCCATACTAAATTGCATCTCATTGGTGTTACACAATCTTTCCAGTTTTTCAAGATTATTTTTAACTTATGCCAACAACATATTAAATATCCTTTCCATCTATGGGACCCATTCCATTTTCTAAGTTTACCTAAGACTTTAAAAGACATTAAGCCATCAGAGCCAAAAACAGAGTTTCTCTACTTCCATGTTGATATTCTCCTTAATCTACACTTCCATTCATTCAATAAATATTTACTTTCAGGGTGTTCGGATGAGCTATGGGTTACATAGTGATGAATTCAGCAGACATAGCTTCTGCCCTCATGAAGCTTACAGCCTACAACTACAGAGGATGGGGCTGTTGAAGCAGCTAAAAAACCCTACCTTTTCTACTATTGAGCAATAAAAGAAATGTTTTTCTTGAATTTCTGAGATCATTTCTTGCCAGTCTTTGCTCATGTCACTACCTGGAATAAACTCCCTTTTATCATATTGGGTTATCAACATCTTATACATTCACAAAAGACCACATAAATGTTACCAGCTGCAAAAATCTTATTCATGTCTGTGAAATCCATTAACATGTGGCACCACTTGAGTTGGGCTCATCACTTGCTGATTTCTGCTGTCATTATTTGTGAATGTCTAATTTCACTGTAAGCTCATACTGTCCTTTCAAACATGAATGAGGCCTTTAACATTGTTGTATCAATCCATAACATTGAACATAATACCCTGTTTGAGGAGGCATGACTATAGACCCTTTCTGTCCAATAATAAAGATGTTGGTAAGAGTAAATAAAAGGTCTCATTTCTTGATAAACTGGTTAGAATCAAGGAGGTCTGAGCATGACACTAGGGTTCCTAAATACTTTCATTCTAGACACATAAAACCTCTAGAAGATTAAATTCAGACAATTTTAAACTTTAGATACACATTACAACACAAAGAAATGCACTATTATAAATTTTAATGGGGGAAGGCCGGTAATTCAGGAAACTGTCAGATCTGAATAATGAAATACCAGATAGTTCTTATCTATTTACATACTCTGTGATTTCTAACACTCTGAACAATAATATTTCAGGGTTCTAAATATTGGTTAGATTTTTAAAGTTTTCGAAATTATATAACTAGATGACTGCTCTCAAAATTAGGCCGGTATTTTGGATTACACAGAGTGCCTAAAAGTGCATTTTTCCTCCTGAAGGGGAAAGCCATGTGCCTAGCCAATATTTTCATTCCCTAAGGATCCATGGAATTATGATAGCTTACCCTCATCAGTCACCCAGGCTCCCATTGGTGTGAATTGGGCAATGCTGTTTACATAGCAAATACACTTCCTTTTATACAAGGGTCCACAACCCCTGGGCCATGGACCAGTATCAGTTCACGGTCTGTTAGGAACTGGGTCACGCAGCAGGAGGCGAGCTGCAGGTGAGTGAGCAAAGCTTCTTCTGTACCTACAGCCACTCTCCATTACTTGCATCACCATCTGAGCCCTGCTTCCTGTCAGATCAGCAGCAGCAGCAAATTCTCATAGAAGCATGAACCCTATTATGAACTGCACATGCAAGGGATCTAGGTTGCACATTCCTTATGAGAATCTAATTGCTGATGATCTGTCACTGTCTCCCATCACCCCCAGATGGGACCAACTAGTTGCAGGAAAACAAGCTCAGGGCTCCCACTGATTCTACATTACGGTGAGTTGTACAATCACTTCATTATATATCACAATGTAATAATAATATAATTGAAGTGCATAATATACATAATGCACTTAAATCATCTCCAAACCATCCCCCACTGCCACCCTGGAGCATGGAAAAATTATCTTCCACGAAACAGATCCCTATGCCAAAAAGTTGGGGATTGCAGCTTTAATAGACTCAGAGGCATAGTCTTAGAGTGTAACAAATGCACAAACCTTTTCTTTTAAAACAGACTCCAGAGGGATTGAAGAGAGGGAACCAGTGATAATCTATATGCCCATTTCATGGCAGACATGCTGCTGTGTGCTTTCCATGCATTATATCATTCATCCAACAGGCATCTAAAGAATATAGAGTCAAGAACAGTTAAGCCATTGCCACAAGATCACCTAGCTAGTAAATGGCTCAAACTCAGTGACTCAAACCCAGGATTTCCAACCTTAAATAAGGCTCTCACTCCCACACCGCACAGCTGCATATCTGAGTGTTTATCAGTGAATTACATTGATGTAAATTCATTTATGAAAATGTCAAGATATCGTGAGCACTAGTGCTTTTAGGAGAGAATATTTAACTCATTTCAGACAACATATATTAACTTCATCAAAAGTTTGCCTGTTATAAACCTGTGACTCACTCTTGGTCACCATGATGGTGCAACAGCTGTCCACTGGACAAATACTAAATAATATTTTATCCTTGCCCCCTATTTCTTATGAGAAAGCCACAATGAACTTCCTTTTGTCTCTCATTTCACCCTTAAAGGGACAAATAGCATTGCATTATCCTTGAAAGGGTCTTCTGCTGACCCATCTTTGACGCTTCCATCACAGGGTGACGATGGGATGTTTGCTGTATCACACTTCCCTGTGCTTTCATGAATGTGTTACTGGTGATGAAGAATGCCAATTCTTTGTTTAGTAGCAGTTTGCTGGGTCTCCCTGAAAATAATGTGTCAGTTAGGCTACCTATAAATCTGAGTCAGTAATGTACTTCTCTAAGGTATATTTATGTTTTGAATTTGTCTCTGAGCAATCTGTTGGGGGGAAATTTTGCTTTAATATGTTTTATAAAAAGGTGAGAAAGTAATAAAGTGTAATGAAGATAAGATAAATTTTCTAATAAAATAAAATATAGAAGTGTTCAAAATTTTTGCTTTCCCCATATGACTTTGTTTTTTCCCCAAATGTTACCCTCATAACAGGTGGGTTCTGTCTCTTGATGGGTATCAACACAGTGACCACAACCGAGGAGGATTTAGCAAGGGAATCTTACTACTTGTAACAAATAAGGGAAACACCAGGAGCAATTCCCAAAGCAGTATCTCTCCAAGCTGGGGGGCAGTCAGATTTTATAAGTGTAGGGTAATAAGGTGTGATCTGATTGGATTCTGCAATGAGGTGTTGTCAGAAGGCATAATCTGACTGGATTTTGCCATGGGATGATGGCAGAGCTCAATCTGTTTGGATCCTGGATCCTGCCATTGTTGTGTCTGCTTTTAATTCAGTCCCTACTCCTTGGTCAGAGCACTTAGGTTCCCCCTGTGGTTGCACTCTTGGTTCTTCCGCACATGGTCAGGTTATGTGACCTGAGGGTCCATGGCAACTGAAAAACAAGAGGAACTTTGTTACATAAAAAATTGAACCAGATTTGCCTGGCATGGCTACACAAATGGATGTCTCTGTTCAGCCTTATTTATCCACAGTTTTTCCTCCTGCTGATCCCTTTTTCTTGCCTGTCCTCCCTGCCTGCTCACTTGCTTTCTGGCCTCTCTTGCCTCTCTTCTTAGCCAGAGCTGTATAGGGATTTAGTTCAGTGTTTCCTCCTTCATTGTCATTGGACAATATTCACTCATCAGCTCCAGGTCACCTCCCTGTCCTCACCTGTGACCAGTCTTCCTTCCAGGTTCATTGCCATTTTCAAAGTGAGTCTGCACTCTCTCACCACCCGTTTGCTTATCACCCACTCTCTATGTGATTACTTGTGATTTGACATCTGCCCATGCTACTACAATGAAATGGCTTTCTCAGAGACTATCATATGTCTCTATTGACAAAACCGGATTAGTGCTGCTTATTTTCTGCAGTATTTACTGTTGTTGGACACCGCTTCCTTCAACTTTCTCCTCTCTTGGTTCCAGGGCACTATACTAACTTTGGTGGCCATATACTCAGTGCCTCCTTATACATGAGTGGAAGTAAGGGGTTCAGAATGAAATGATTCAGTCAGTCTCATAAAGAGATAGGACATCTGTGGAGATTAAAGTTCTCAGAGTTAGTAGTCTCATTGCTTTATTCCACATGATGTTGACAAAGAAGTAGAAAGGGAAAGCCAAATCCTTCAATCTATATTGCTAATTAAAAAATGATTTTCTTTTCTTCTTTTTAGTAAATGTTTGATGGTGTCTTGGGAGTAGCCTTAGTAGCAAAAGGAAATATTTATGCATGTCTTTGGGAAAATGTCTTTCCATTTTCTGTGGTTATTGTATCTGTAAAAATTGGACACCATTTCTTAAAAGGATTATGTGAAAATTTTATGATGCCTGGTTGGTGAAAGGCAGAGTGTCCTGAAATATCTAAAATGTAGAATCATATTCTTTCTATTGTTTTGATATAATTAGAAGTGTCGATTTTAAAATTACACTGAAAGGCATTTTATTTTTAACATTGTTTTATTAGGTGAGTGCAAAAGTAATTGCAGTTTTTGCATTGTTGAAATTTGCCATTTGATATGGGAATACATTCTTATTTTTAATTAATTAATTTATTATTATTATACTTTAAGTTTTAGGGTACATGTGCACAATGTTCAGGTTAGTTACATATGTATACATGTGCCATGCTGGTGCGCTGCACCCACTAACTCGTCATCTAGCATTAGGTATATCTCCCAATGCCATCCCTCCCCCCTCCCCCCACCCCACAACAGTCCCCAGAGTGTGATGTTCCCCTTCCTGTGTCCATGTGTTCTCATTGTTCAATTCCCACCTATGAGTGAGAATATGCAGTGTCTGGTTTTTTGTTCTTGCGATAGTTTACTGAGAATGATGATTTCCAATTTCATCCATGTCCCTACAAAGGACATGAACTCATCCTTTTTTATGGCTGCATAGTATTCCATGGTGTATATGTGCCACATTTTCTTAATCCAGTCTATCATTGTTGGACATTTGGGTTGGTTCCAAGTCTTTGCTATTGTGAATAGTGCCGCAATAAACATACGTGTGCATGTGTCTTTATAGCAGCATGATTTACAGTCCTTTGGGTATATACCCAGTAATGGGATGGCTGGGTCAAATGGTATTTCTAGTTCTAGATCCCTGAGGAATCGCCACACCAACTTCCACAATGGTTGAACTAGTTTACAGTCCCACCAACAGTGTAAAATTGTTCCTATTTCTCCACATCCTCTCCAGCACCTGTTGTTTCCTGACTTTTTAATGATTGCCATTCTAACTGGTGTGAGATGGTATCTCATTGTGGTTTTGATTTGCATTTCTCTGATGGCCAGTGATGGTGAGCATTTTTTCATGTGTTTTTTGGCTGCATAAATGTCTTCTTTTGAGAAGTGTCTGTTCACGTCCTACGCCCACTTCTTGATGGGGTTGTTTGTTTTTTTCTTGTAAATTTGTTTGAGTTCATTGTAGATTCTGGATATTAGCCCTATGTCAGATGAGTAGGTTGCAAAAATTTTCTCCCATTTTGTAGGTTGCCTGTTCACTCTGATGGTAGTTTCTTTTGCTGTGCAGAAGCTCTTTAGTTTAATTAGATCCCATTTGTCAATTTTGGCTTTTGTTGCCATTGCTTTTGGTGTTTTAGACATGAAGTCCTTGCCCATGCCTATGTCCTGAATGGTAATGCCTAGGTTTTCTTCTAGGGTTTTCATGGCTTTAGGTCTAACATTTAAGTCTTTAATCCATCTTGGATTGATTTTTGTATAAGGTGTAAGGAAGGGATCCAGTTTCAGCTTTCTACATATGGCTAGCCAGTTTTCCCAGCACCATTTATTAAATAGAGAATCCTTTCCCCATTGCTTGTTTTTCCTCAGGTTTGTCAAAGATCAGATAGTTGTAGATATGTGGCGTTATTTCTGAGGGCTCTGTTCTGTTCCATTGATCTATATCTCTGTTTTGGTACCAGTACCATGCTGTTTTGGTTACTGTAGCCTTGTAGTATAGTTTGAAGTCAGGTAGTGTGATGCCTCCAGCTTTGTTCTTTTGGCTCAGGATTGACTTGGCGATGCGGGCTCTTTTTTGGTTCCATATGAACTTTAAAGTAGTTTTTTTCAATTCTGTGAAGAAAGTCATTGATAGCTTGATGGGGATGTCATTGAATCTGTACATTACCTTAGGCAGTAAGGTCATTTTCACGATATTGATTCTTCCTACCCATGAGCATGGAATGTTCTTCCATTTGTTTGTATCCTCTTTTATTTCCTTGAGCAGTGGTTTGTAGTTCTCCTTGAATAGGTCCTTCACATCCCTTGTAAGTTGGATTCCTAGGTATTTTATTCTCTTTGAAGCAATTGTGAATGGGAGTTCACTCATGATTTGGCTCTCTGTTTGTCTGTTATTGGTGTATAAGAATGCTTGTGATTTTTGTACATTGATTTTGTATCCTGAGACTTTGCTGAAGTTGCTTATCAGCTTAAGGAGATTTTGGGCTGAGACGATGGGGTTTTCTAGATATACAATCATGTCATCTGCAAACAGGGACAATTTGACTTCCTCTTTTCCTAATTGAATACCCTTTATTTCCTTCTCCTGCCTAATTGCCCTGGCCAGAACTTCCAACACTATGTTGAATAGTAGTGGTGAGAGAGGGCATCCCTGTCTTGTGCCAGTTTTCAAAGGGAATGCTTCCAGTTTTTGCCCATTCAGTATGATATTGGCTGTGGGTTTGTCATAGATAGCTCTTATTATTTTGAAATATGTCCCATCGATACCTAATTTGTTGAGAGTTTTTAGCATGAAGAGTTGTTGAATTTTGTCAAAGGCCTTTTCTGCATCTATTGAGATAATCATGTGGTATTTGTCTTTGGCTCTGTTTTTATGCTGGATTACATTTATTGATTTGCGTGTATTGAACCAGCCTTGCATCCCAGGGATGAAGCCCACTTGATCATGGTGGATAAGCTTTTTGATGTGCTGCTGGATTTGGTTTGCCAGTATTTTATTGAGGATTTTTGCATCAATGTTCATCAAGGATATTGGTCTAAAATTCTCTTTTTTTGTTGTGTCTCTGCCCGGCTTTGGTATCAGGATGATGCTGGCCTCATAAAATGAGTTAGAGAGGATTCCCTCTTTTTCTATTGATTGGAATAGTTTCAGAAGGAATGGTACCAGTTCCTCCTTGTACCTCTGGTAGAATTCGGCTGTGAATCCATCTGGTCCTGGACTCTTTTTGGTTGGTAAGCTATTGATTACTGCCACAATTTCAGATCCTGTTATTGGTCTACTCAGAGATTCAACTTCTTCCTGGTTTAGTCTTGGGAGAGTGTATGTGTCCAGAAATTTATCCATTTCTTCTAGATTTCTAGTTTATTTGCGTAGAGGTGTTTGTAGTATTCTCTGATGGTAGTTTGTATTTCTGTGGGATCGGTGGTGATATCCCCTTTATCATTTTTTATTGTGTCTATTTGATTCTTCTCTCTTTTTTTCTTTATTAGTCTTGCTAGCGGTCTATCAATTTTGTTGATCCTTTCAAAAAACCAGCTCCTGGATTCATTAATTTTTTGAAGGGTTTTTTGTGTCTCTATTTCCTTCAGTTCTTCTCTGATCTTAGTTATTTCTTGCCTTCTGCTAGCTTTTGAATGTGTTTGCTCTTGCTTTTCTAGTTCCTTTAATTGTGATGTTAGGGTGTTAATTTTGGATCTTTCCTCCTTTCTCTTGTGGGCATTTAGTGCTATAAATTTCCCTCTACACACTGCTTTGAATGCATCCCAGAGATTCTGGTATGTTGTGTCTTTGTTCTCGTTGGTTTCAAAGAACATCTTTATTTCTGCCTTCGTTTCGTTATGTACCCAGTAGTCATTCAGGAGCAGGTTGTTCAGTTTCCATGTAGCTGAGCGGTTTTGAGTGAGATTCTTAATCCTGAGTTCTAGTTTGATTGCACTGTGATCTGAGAGATAGTTTGTTATAATTTCTGTTCTTTTACATTTGCTGAGGAGAGCTTTACCTCCAAGTATGTGGTCAATTTTGGAATAGGTGTGGTGTGGTGCTGAAAAAAATGTATATTCTGTTGATTTGGGGTGGAGAGTTCTGTAGATGTCTATTAGGTCTGCTTGGTGCAGAGCTGAGTTCAATTCCTGGGTATCCTTGTTGACTTTCTGTCTCGTTGATCTGTCTAATGTTAACAGTGGGGTGTTAAAGTCTCCCATTAACAATGTGTGGGAGTCTAAGTCTCTTTGTAGGTCACTCAGGACTTGCATTATGAATCTGGGGGCTCCTGTATTGGGTGCATATATGTTTAGGATAGTTAGCTCTTCTTGTTGAATTGATCCCTTTACCATTATGTAATGGCCTTCTTTGTCTCTTTTGATCTTTGTTGGTTTAAAGTCTGTTTTATCAGAGACTAGGATTGCAACCCCTGCCTTTTTTTGTTTCCCATTTGCTTGGTAGATCTTCCTCCATCCTTTTATTTTGAGCCTATGTGTGTCTCTGCACGTGAGATGGGTTTCCTGAATACAGCACACTGATGGGTCTTGACTTTTTATCCAGTTTGCCAGTCTGTGTCTTTTAATTGGAGCATTTAGTCCATTTACATTTAAAGTTAATATTGTTATGTGTGAATTTGATCCTGTCCTTATGATGTTAGCTGGTTATTTTGCTCCTTAGTTGATGCAGTTTCTTCCTAGTATCGATGGTCTTTACATTTTGGCATGATTTTGCAGCGGCTGGTACCGGTTGTTCCTTTTCATGTTTAGCGCTTCCTTCAGGAGCTCTTTTAGGGCAGGCCTGGTGGTGACAAAATCTCTCAGCATTTGCTTGTCTGTAAAGTGTTTTATTTCTCCTTCACTTATGAAGCTTAGTTTGGCTGGATATGAAATTCTGGGTTGAAAATTCTTTTCTTTAAGAATGTTGAATATTGGCCCCCACTCTCTTCTGGCTTGTAGAGTTTCTGCCGAGAGATCTGCTGTTAGTCTGATGGGCTTCCCTTTGAGGGTAACCCGACCTTTCTCTCTGGCTGCCCTTAACATTTTTTCCTTCATTTCAACTTTGGTGAATCTGACAATTATGTGTCTTGGAGTTGCTCTTCTGGAGGAGTATCTTTGTGGCGTTCTCTGTATTTCCTGAATCTGAATGTTGGCCTGCCTTGCTAGATTGGGGAAGTTCTCCTGGATAATATCCTGCAGAGTATTTTCCAACTTGGTTCCATTCTCCCCGTCACTTTCAGGTACACCAATCAGACATAGATTTGGTCTTTTCACATAGTCCCATATTTCTTGGAGGCTTTGCTCATTTCTTTTTATTCTTTTTTCTCTAAACTTCCCTTCTTGCTTCATTTCATTCATTTCATCTTCCATCGCTGATACCCTTTCTTCCAGTTGATTGCATTGGCTCTTGAGGCTTCTGCATTCTTCACGTAGTTCTCGAGCCTTGGTTTTTAGCTCCATCAGCTCCTTTAAGCACTTCTCTGTATTGGTTATTCTAGTTATACATTCTTCTAAATGTTTTTCAATGTTTTCAACTTCTTTGCCTTTGATTTGAATGTCCTCCCGTAGCTCGGAGTAATTTGATTGTCTGAAGCCTTCTTCTCTCCGCTCGTCAAAGTCATTCTCCATCCAGCTTTGTTCCGTTGCTGGTGAGGAACTGCGTTCCTTTGGAGGAGGAGAGTCGCTCTGCTTTTTAGAGTTTCCAGTTTTTCTGCTCTGTTTTTTCCCCATCTTTGTGGTTTTATCTACTTTTGGTCTTTGATGATGGTGATGTACAGATGGGTTTTTGGTGTGGATGTCCTTTCTGTTTGTTAGTTTTCCTTCTAACAGACAGGACCCTCAGCTGCACTTCTGTTGGAGTACCCGGCCGTGTGAGGTGTCAGTCTGCCCCTGCTGGGGGATGCCTCCCAGTTAGGCTGCTCGGGGGTCAGGTGTCAGGGACCCACTTGAGGAGGCAGTCTGCCCATTCTCAGATCTCCAGCTGCGTGCTGGGAGAACCACTGCTCTCTTCAAAGCTGTCAGACAGGGACATTTAAGTCTGCAGAGGTAACTGCTGTCTTTTTGTTTGTCTGTGCCCTGCCCCCAGAGGTGGAGCCTACAGAGGCAGGCAGGCCTCCTTGAGCTGTGGTGGGCTCCACCCAGTTCCAGCTTCCCCCCTGCTTTGTTTACCTAAGCAAGCCTGGGCAATGGCGGGCGCCCCTCCCCCAGCCTGCTGCCGCCTTGCAGTTTGATCTCAGACTGCTGTGCTAGCAATCAGCAAGACTCCGTGGGTGTAGGACCCTCTGAGCCAGGTGCGGGATATAATCTCCTGATGCGCTGTTTTTTAAGCCGGTTGGAAAAGCGCAGTATTCAGGTGGGAGTGACCCGATTTTCCAGGTGCCGTCTGTCACCCCTTTCTTTGACTAGGAAAGGGAACTCCCTGACCCCTTGGGCTTCCCGAGTGAGGCAATGCCTCGCCCTGCTTTGGCTCGCGCAGGGTATGCGCACCCACTGACCTGCGCCCACTGTCTGGCACTCCCTAGTGAGATGAACCCGGTACCTCAGATGGAAATGCAGAAATCACCCGTCTTCTGCGTCGCTCACACTGGGAGCTGTAGACCAGAGCTGTTCCTATTCGGCCATCTTGGCTTCAAGAGCGGGAATACATTCTTACATGTGGTTATGTTATACATCATTTTAATAGGTATTTCTCACTTGTTTTTGCTAATGACTTACTACTTGCTGTTTATTTTATTTTTATTTTAGACTATGAAAGTGATGTTAGATAAAAAGCAAATTCAAGCAATTTCCTTATTGTAGTTCAAAATGGGTCATAAAGCAATGGAGGCAACTCACAACATCAACAACAAATTTGGCCCAGGAACTAACGAACATACAGTGTAGTGGTGATTCAAGAAGTTTTGCAAAGGAGATGAGAGCCTTGAAGATGAGGAGTGTAGTGGCTGGCTCTTGGAAGTTGACAACAACCAGTTGAGAGCAATCTTGAAGCTTATCCTCTTAAAACTACAAGTGAAGGGCCAGGCATGGTGGCTCACGCCTGTAATCCCAGCACTTTGGGAGGCCGAGGCGGGCAGATCATGAGGTCAGGAGATCGAGATCATCCTGGCTAACACAGTGAAACCCTGTCTGTACTAAAAATATAAAAAATTAGTCGGGCATGGTGGCAGGCGCCTGTAGTCCCAGCTACTCGGGAGGCTGAGGCAGGAGAATGGCGTGAAACTGGGAGGTGGAGCTTGCAATGAGCTGAGATGGCGCCACTGCACTCCATCCTGGGCAACAGAGTGAGACTCCGTCTCAAAAAAAAAAAAACAAGTGAAGTTGCCGAAGAACTCAACGTTGACCATTCTATGATCGTTCGACATTTGAAGAAAATTGGAAAGGTGAAAAAGCTTGATAAGTGGATGCCTCATGAGCTGAGAGAAAATTAAAAAATCATTATTTTGAAGGGTGGTTTTCTCTTATTCTGTGCAGCAACAACAACAAACAATTTCTCAATCAGATTGTTACTTGTGAGGAAAAGTGGATTTTATATGACAACTGGTGATGACCAGCTCAGTGGTTGGACCAAGAAGAAGCTCCAAAGAACTTCCCAAAGCCAAACTTACACCAAAAAAATGTTCATGGTCACTGCTTGGTGGTCTGCTGCTGGTCTGATCCACTACAGCTTTCTGAATCCTGGCTGAACAATTACATCTGGGAAGGATGTTCAGCAAATCAGTGCGATGTAGTGAAAACTGCAACACCTGCAGCCAGCATTGTTCAACAGAAGGGGCTCAATTCTCCAGGACAACGCCCGACTGCATGTTGCACAACCAACACTTCAGAAGTTGAATGCATTGGGTTACGAAGTTTTGCCTCATTTGCCATATTCACCTGATCTCTCGCGAACTGACTCCCACTTCCTCAAGCATCTTGATAACTTACTGCAGGGAAAATGCTTCCACAACCAGCAGGATGCAGGAAATACTTTCCAGGAGTTCATCAAATCCTGAAGTATAGATTTTTATGCTACAGAAATAAACAAACTTATTTCTCATTGGCAAAAAAGTGTTGATTGTAACGGTTCTTATTTTGATTAATAAAGATGTGTTTGACCCTAGTTATAAAATGATTTAAAATTCATGATCTAAAACCGCAATTACTTTTGCATCAACCTTAATATTTGAAAATTAGTAAAATTGCAAAAAGAAAGCCCTTATTAGCTGTTAATAAATATAAAATATATAAAATGTGTGTGTGTTAAACTAAGTGCCTTGAGTATATGAAGCTATGAAAATGAAGACAACAGCCTTACTAACATTCCATCTCATTATTGTTATAACTCCTGGTTCCATCATAATCTTGTTTTTCCATCCCAACAGAATCTGAGGTGCAGTCATTTTTGTGAAGCTGTTATTTTCATCACAATGTGATCTATACCTAATGATTACATTACCTGTACATCTGAAGCTCGTTCGTAAACCATCGTCCCCTGAGAGTATACCTAACATAGGAAATACTATATATATTTGGCCGCTGAAGTGCTATAATGATGCCCTAAATTACATATCCCTTTCTACAGACATAATTTGCTTTATTAAAAATAACTTCTGCATAACTATTGAAGAATAAAACAGCCACTTATGCACAAGGTGAGGGATATCTGCATATCTGAGCTAGACAAAAAGTATGTTTGATAATCTATTGTATGTTTTGCTACAAAAGCAAAGTGGTTCCTTATGATTGGCTGAAACTCTTTGAGTTCTTGTTCTATCTTTCAGCAAATGAAGATGCTAATTGTCTTTATTCTAGCCTTTTATAACATTACCTTGGCTCTTCAAAGTCAAATGGAACCTGGAAAATCGAACTTAATTCCATTTTACATTTTTCCCTTGACCATTTCCCATGGTGGGGAGGTATGTGTCTAGATTTGGAAAATAAGCCTGCTTAGTTTTTTTTCCCAGCTCAGTGCTTAGAAACAACCCCCTCTAGCAAAACCATGCCTAGGAAAACAAAGTATCCAGCTAGGCTTTCAAGGTTACTTGGGGGCAAGACATGGATAGTTACGTCCTTGGAGGAAAATAAATACAAGGCAGTAGATCCAAATGTATTTGTCATGCAAAGAACATTAGCTGAGAGAGAGCTTCCATATATAGGTTTGCAAAACTGAGAGCAAAGCCAAAGCCATTCCTGGGTTTTGCTTTGTGATATAGTCTCCAAATGGATACTATTATGATTAATCTATTCTGAGTTCCTTAAATGCTATTGTAACAATGTCAGGGGCCAAGTTCAAGTCTAAAGTACGTGTATGATGATCATAGCTGCTATAATACTCATAATGCTGAAGACATAGTAACAACAATTTATAATAGGAGAGCAGTTTTGTGCAGCAAAATAGTTCCGTGGAGCAGAATTAGATCATGAAAATGTTGCATGGTGGGCATTTAGTCGTGAAAGTATAAATCTGTACCTAATGATTGATGTGAATCAGGTTTCAAACCTATTAGATGTGCCATTTAACCAGGCAACATTTGCCCATTATTTTTTTGCATGAAAAGTAATTACCGTATGTTTAATAGTTACTGAATTGTGACTGGCAGGTGTGCCCCACCATAATAATAATGATGACAATAATAATATCTTCAACTTCAACTCACTCTCCACAAGTCAGGGCAAAGAGAGAATAAACAATGATTATTTGGCGTGTTTGAATAATATAAAAGCCAGTCTAGGTAATTTAAGGCAAAGATCACTTTCAAAAGCCAGATTTATATATTTTTCCCTCCTCCATTCAAATAATTGTCTCAGAGTCCCATTTCAACTTATTTTAATAGTTACTTCCTGCATATCTGTGATGGGTTCTCAAAAACTTTCAAAACCACTTTCACATATTCCGTTACTTAGCCCTTAACAACAGTGTCGAATAGGGTAGGAGAGAAACATTGTTCCCTGTTTTTCATTTAGAAAGCCGAGATTCAGAGAGGTTAAATGACTGTTTCTACTCCACAAAAAGAAAGAAATCAGTTGAATTTTCTCTGATAAACCTGCCAACGTTAGTGATACGAAAGTGACCACACCGATAGAGTGGTGTCACTGTCAATATTATTCTGTTGGCAAACATATTGTATCTGGAAGTCAAGGGCAAGAAAAGAAAGTTAGAAATTGCTGAGATAAGGGCTGTGCTACCGAAAAAACACTGAAAGGGTGCCCCAGCTAGGGTCTCAAACCTATACCTCTCCCCTTCAGCCTGGTACTTCAATACTGAGTAGATTATGGTGCCCATTTTGAGGGAAGGCTAGTGTTATCTCATTCAGATTAAGTTTTGTGTTGGTGTGACACAGATGGGTTTATATAATTAATGTCATGTCCTAGAGGGCTGTGAACATTCCTACACTTGAGGCAGTGTTCAAAATCTATTACTGTTTTTTTTTAATTAAAAAAGAATTTGTTTTCTTTTTCCCCTAGATGGAACTTAAACTCATTGTATATGATTGAAGAGGAACAAGGAGAAGGAGAAGGAGAGAAACAACATACAATAAAGTTGTCCACCAATTGTCCCAGGAAAATTTGTTTCTCACATAGGGGTCATCACAACTGCTGCATTGCAGTCAGCTGGAAGTATAATCTTCCATGAATCTGAAGATGTGATGAAAGATAGTAGGCACAGGCAAAGCCTAGCTTTAAGAAAAACATAAAATGAGGACTTTGAGACCCTAGGGCCTCTTTCCTTCTTCTTCCCCTTGATAGGCAAAGGCTTTTTTCCAAATCATCTTTGTAAGAAGTCCCAGACCCACAATGAACTATTGAAATACCATGATCCAGTAATGTCATCTTCTTCTGCTATTAATATGGTAATCATTTTAGGTGATAGATTTCACCTTCAACAGTTCTTGAAGAACATTCAGACAGTTCACCCTGAAATGGGTGAAAAAAAATCAGGTACCTCCTATTTCATAAGGATGTGAGCCAGGATGAAGCAGTATGTTATCAGGCTTGGCATTTCGCAAGCTGAGTAGAGTCCATGTGATCACCAGGTATAATGTTATGCTGGAGTTGGGTTTCATCTCTTGCTTGGGTTTGGAATGTAAACAATCTTGAAATTGTATTTGGAGAGAAGGAAACCCTGGGAAATGTTTATTTTTAAAAAACATGGATTTTTTACAAAAGCAAATACATGTTCTAATTTACATCAGGGAGCAGATACCTCTTTACTTTTTTGAGATTTTTCTGAGACATTAACCTTAAGTTATCACTTGTGTGTATCAGGAGAAAAGTTGGGAGAGTGGGAGAGATGGGTAAGGAAACATTTTTAAATGTACTTAAATCTCCCATGATTTATTTCAAGCTGTAAAGCATTTCTAAAACTCGAGTTTGTTAATTATCCCAAGGAAAAAGAAGAGAGGAAAATAGTCAATCTGATAGACTGGTGACATTCCATGTAGCCTGATACTAAGTTGTGACAAAATATCTAACATTCGGCCATTGTTTTTGATATTTGTACTTTTTCTTGTAAACTATTTGCTCTGGGACAAAAAGTCATTGGTTTTGAACTTGATTTGGGCAACTAAATGATATACTTAACCACCTGCTTTAGCCCGACCATGACTTTTTAATGACTTCCATTTTATTTGGTTTTGGAAATTGATTTGCCCTTTAAAAATAATATCAGCATTTAAAGTAATTTTGCTTGTTTTTTGTTTGTGTAGTAGCTAAATATGCTAAGAGAATGACTTCAAATATGCAGCCTTTATGAAGATGTGAAAATTGCTGTGCTCTAGCTACAAATGGCAATTCCGATAACAAGAGCTTGAATGTGGCCTTGAGGCAAGGGAAAAACAGAAAAAGTCCACTGAAAGTCAACTTTGTCCCCTTAATTTGCAGGCACTGTGGGGAGCAGGGAATACTCCATGGGCACAGGCATCCTCCCGAGCCATATTGGTTGTAGTGTTGTCTATTATATCTGCACAGTTCCTCCTTTGATTCTTTCTATGAATCATGTGTTAGCAACCCAAGTAGCTGCCATTAGCTCCAGCCATATGGGTGAAGGTAGGGGTAGAGGTTGCAGAGCTTAAACATAGGTATCCAGAAATCATTGGCTCTTCCCATTTCCTGACTGATTCTCCAACTATCAATCTGCTTGTAAGCACATTCACACCACTCAGTGCCCCTGGTACATAAAACAAGAGCAGTGACTGAAATAAGCTCTCAAACTAGCAAACTGAACAAGCTATACAAGACTTCTTGGATATTGAAAATACTAAACATTCTCATAGCTATAGAATTAATTATTTGGAAGATATTGGCAAGTACCTTTTCATGTCTACAGTGTCCATCTATTAAATGGGAACTACTACTCTGAAAGTAGCAGTAAGTTTTATTAGGGGAAGGGGGAGAATCATCACAATCATCTAAAACTGTTTTGTTTAATGTTACCTGCCAAGATATGTGTCTAAGAGGCTGCTGTGGCTCCCACCAGCCCTGACCTCTGCACATCACTGAACCTGTATCCTACTGTTAATGATACATATGTCATATTTACAAATGCCTCATGTGTCTCAGGGTGGTAAAAATGTTTCTATTCAAGAATGGCAACTAAAAACACCCATAGGTCCATCATATTGGATTAACCACTTATATCCAGCTACCTGAAACTACTGGCACTACTCAGAAAATAAATTTTCTTTTACCATCTTGCCCACTTACCGTTCTCAGAAAGTCCTGCCTTTCCTTTCCCTTCTTTATCCAATTAACCCAACTTTTAGCTCTTACATCAAATCTTCTGGAAAGCCTTCTAGACATTTCTCTCCCTTCCTCTCTGCCATTATTTCTTTTTCAGGATAGGTTAGATATTATACTGGGCGCTCTCATAGCTTCATGGGCATACCCATGTCAAAGTAGCCAGCAATCGCTATTCTAAGAAACTTGTCTGAATTTGTAATTGGATTGTAAATATCTTGAGTGCAAGATCTTCAACTTGTATAGTTGTATTTCCAATTTTCAACATATGTTGAGTGAATGTATTCTAAATATAATATTAAGCATGGCCTATACCTGGTAATATAAACATGGAAATAGAATGATTATTTAATTTGTCATGTCTGTGAAGGACCCTTGATGGTATCTAGTCTTAACCCTCAACTTACAGTTGAGGAAGCTGAGGACCATAGTGTATTCATTCATTTTTTGTTTATTAATTCATGAATTCATTCATGCAACACATTGCATTGAGCATCCATGTGTGCTTGGCACTGAGCTAGCCACTGACCAGGTAATGCTAAGTAGAGCAGAACAAAAGACATGGTCCTTCCCTCATAGAGCTTACCTCTTAGTGCAGTAGAGACACAGTAATCCAATCATCACACAAGACATTTATACTCACCAACTGTGCTAACTGGGGACTATGGCAGCCAACTGATGTGAAGATTTGGCTTAATGGCAGGAGTCAGGAAGCCTTTCCTCCAAGGTGTGGTGTTTGAACTGAAATCTGAAGAACCAGCAGAAGAGCACAAGGAGGGAAAGGAGTTTGCCAGGCCCAGGCCAGTGGGTTTGAAGCCTTGAGGCAGGGGGGAATGAGGTGCATTCAAGAAACTGAAAGGCGGAAAGTGCAGGAGCAGAAGAATGAGGGACTCAAGAAGAAAGAGGCAGTACAAAATAAGAATGAAAGATGGTCAGGGGCCAGTTCTGTAGGACCTGTAGCCATTTAAAAATGTTTAGTTATTAACTTAGAACAGTGAGAGCACTGAAATGTGTGAGGGTCAGAAGAACTGGGAGGTGGCCTGATAACACATGCATTTTGAAGAATCTCTGCTGCAGTGTAGAGAGCAGATTGGTGGACAATTGATGGACTGAGCAGATAGGTGAGAGGTAGCCCTACTGGGAAGAATATGCTGAAGTGTGTGCAAGAGATTTTGGCAGCCTGGAGAGTAGAGAGCACCACTGACCTCTCTGTTTTTTCTAACTTTCTCAAAAATGCTACGTTCACCTACATCTTATCAAAGAAGGCCTTTATTTACCTATACTTCTAGCATGCTTTGCTTTAGATTTTCCCATTTCTCAGGTAAGGGCACAGAGGCTAACGAACGCTCCTTTCCTGGGGCCAAAGCGTTTTCAGTTTGGGCATCTCAGTAACTTTTGGCACCACTGCTGGCTTTAAGGAGCCTGTTATGTAGTCTATGGTGGATCTGAATACCAGGCAGACAGATGACATTTTTATAAATAGTGTGAGGAAACCCCAGAAGTAATGTGAATGGATGAGAGTTCAAGACCACTGCTGACCTGGAAAGCCAATGACTGAGGCACCAGAGGAAGTAGGCTCTCAGAGGGAAGACAGAACACCCCCTTTCCAGCTCATTGAGAGTGAAGCAGGTGCTTTTCTGAAGCAGGTGATATTCTGAAGATCCACCTCCTCAGAACAAGTGTTCTGAAGTTTCTCTGAAATGCAGAGAATCTACCATATGATATGGTTTTGCTGTGTTCCCACCCAAGTCTCATCTTGAATTGTACTTCCCATAATCTCCATGTGTCATGGGAGAGACCTTGTAGGAGGTAATTTCATCATGGGGGGCAGTTACCTCCATGCTGTTCTTGTGATAGTGAGTGAGTTATCATGACATCTGATGGTTTTTTATAACAGGGTTTTCCTCCTTTGCTCGGCACTTCTTCCTGCCGCCATGTGAAGAAAGATGTGTTTGCTCCCCCTTCTGCCACAATTGTAAGTTTCCTGAGGCCTCTCTAGCCCTGTGGAACTGTGAGTCAATTAAACCTCTTTCCATTATAAATTACCCAGTCTCAGGTATTTCTTCATAGTAGCATGAGAGCAGACTAATACACCATCTGTAAGAAACTTGGAAAAATGATTTGTTTAGAGTTCCATCTGAGCAGTCATATTATTAGTAAGATATATATGTCGGGAAAAGAAATTTACTTCTTATGACTTTTTACATTTTGAGATCTTATTGTTTGATGCTCCACGTTGAGGGAGCCATATTTCTCCACCTGGTCACCAGGCTCATTAGGAGGGACAGATGTGGCCTCACATTTCATGTGCGGTTCTTGTCTCAGCCCTTCTTTTTCTCAAAGATTCCTGCCTTTTGTCTACTTTTCTCAAAGTGCCATCTTCCTTCTCTCAGGCTCTTTTGGGATTACCCAACCACCATTGTAGGCAACTCTAGTTCTATAGGCAACTCTAGTTCTATAGGTAACTCTAGTTCAGTATCATGACTTTCATGGTTTCTATAAAAATTGCCATCCCACAGCCTTCTTCACATCTGTGACAGGCAGTTGAGAGGGGACTGAGGAAAAGTATTGCCCATACATGGAATTTGTGGAGACTCAATCAATGTTACTTGGATTGAGTAATAAAGGAAGTTATTTGTCTAAGTTTGGGCAGCAAGAGAATGGCAGGGACAGAACCAAAAGCAGTTTTTAAACGATAATCTTTTTTTATTTTTTTACTATTAAATACAGCTTGGGGGCAAAGAAGAGGGATACAATTTGTTGACTTTCATTGCTACATTTTTGGACAAGGAAAGAGAAACAGAGACTCAGGACTGTTTAGAAGTCCAAATGCTATTTATTTCCCCATACTACAATGGCTGTTGAAAATTCTCCTATAATATGCTACAAATACAAGTGTATTAGAGAGTTTATTGTGTATATTTTTGAACATAGTGTAATTTCTTGTATGATGTTAATACAGTTCTTGTTCTTATTCTCTGTAAGAGCTTGTGTTGCTGTTATCTCTAGATAGGAGCAAACTTCATAAAATGTAGAATTCCCTCTGCATGCATAGGGAAGTAGCTTTTAAAATATTAGCCTATTCCATTGTTTAGTTATAAAGTAAAATGATTTTTTAAAGTGCAGGATAAGTGAATTTTTATGTTTCATTTTTAGTTATTGAATTGTCTAGGTAATGCATTTTAGGAGGGCACTGTTCCTCCCAGAACTTAGGAAAGCAGTCATTCAATCACTCAGTAATTTTTAGGGATTTTTAAAATAGATATAACAATTTTAGGATGTCAAGTTTTAGATGTCTAGTTTTAACTTGTTTGGTTGAGCTGACATTTAAGTTCAGTCCCAATGTGATGTGAATGGACCTAGCCTTTTACCTCTTCTTTTTTTCCTCTTCATTGGAAACCAGTACAGAGAACATGGTCACTTAATAAGAAAGATGTTTCCTGCTTTGTTTCCTTTTATTCAACTCAGAACTGCCTGGGGGAAAAGATTGCTTCCTTTCTGAATGTGGTAAGCCACAAAATGGAAAATGTGCACACGAGCTCTTTCCTATTAACCTTGGGGAAAGGTGACAGAAATGTGTGAACAATGCTGTTAGCTGTTTAAATGTTCTTTTATTATTATTAATTTGGTTTAAGGGTTTTGCCTAACAAGTAACTCCCTTGATTTGTATGTTTCAGAGTTGTTTAATTTTTCTCCAAAATAACAATTTGTCCTTTTGAAATTCTTTGTTAGATTTATGTCATTCCAGTTTCAATCTTGGTGATGATTCTTCTATCTGTCATGAGTGGTTTAATCTGCATGTTTATAATTATAGCATATAAAGCCACATAATTCAAGGTGGGTCTTGGTATATAATTCCTTTGTACTTTTTGGGAAAATAAGGCTGTAATGGAAGTAATAAAGATACCTGAGTTGGGAATGTTTAGGTATCACCAAATATTAGCTGTTCAGAAAAATATCCATGATAAATTAGAAACTGAAATCAGCACATTTTTCTGGTTTCGGTTCTTTTGGGGAAACACTGTTATTTTTTAATTCCTGGCTTAAGAATTGTATTTGATTATGCGAAGACAAATCCAAAATTTTAAATTCTAATCCAAGACCTTAGATAAATTAGGGAATTAGGGAATCTGTGTATGTATTTTATAACCATATCACCATATATTGACATACCTATGTCACTGAAGGTATATTGTAAAAGATAATTTGGCCAACTGTATTGGACCAACTGCTCTTGAACTCTCTAAGTACAATTGGTTTAAGATATTGCCTGAAATGACTATTTTGCTTATGGTGTCATTCTTTCATGGTCAAGATGACAGTTCTCTAGGAATGTTATTTCATTTCTAGAATGTCAGCCAAACAGCTTTTTATGATCCTGAGCAGTTATACTCTACCATCCCAAACACACACACACACACATACATCTTACACACACACACACACACACACACACACACACACACACACACACACAAATAAGCCCTGAGAATTTTCAGAGAAATTCATGGTGGAAGATCTGAGATTAGAACCCAGGAACTCCTAAGATTCCTTGGTTTTGTATCAAAGGTCAATAAAGAGACATGAAGTCAATGAAGTCAACAACTGAGGGAAACATCCCTGAGGAAATGCATAATGGAAGTGCTGGTGTAACTACCTCAAATAAATATTTCTACTGAAACTGATCAGTCATCCATTTGATCAGGTAAGGCAGGCAAGCCCACCTCTGATTGCGTAGTAATTCACTGATCATTATCCTGATTTCAGTGGATCTATGCCATACTCAAGACCTACATTTGTCAGTGACCTGATTGTCTTATTGCCCTACACAGACATATAATCAGTCCAGCCTGTGTGAAACTCCTTGTGACCCTTATCATCATACTTAAGCTGTTTTGGTCTTTCAAATGTATTCGCTCTTCTTTACCATTTTGAAGCCATCACTCTTTCACCACTGCCAGCTAGTCTTAGTAATCTTTCACCGTGCACTGTCTGTTGCCTCACTGAATCCTCACAGTCATTCTATGGCATAGGTAATATGATTGTCATTGACATTATGTTCATAAGGGATCCAAGGTTCAGAGGGATTGTATTGTTCAGGGTTGCACAGCTAATTTCTAGTAAAGCCAGGAATCAACTTGCGTCTATATGATTCCATGGTCTATGCACTTAGCTGTGATGTATGCGTTCTATCTCAAGTGATCACCTCTAAAATCAGGATCAGTTCACAGATATTTGTGAGTCTCTCAAGAGAACTAGGGAAACTTCTGTAAAGTTAGCTAATGGCTTTTTAATGTTATGTGGTAATTGTGGTGAAGCAATTGTCAATTCCAGTTAAATTAGCTTAAAATGATAAGAGCAAACACATATCTTTGATGATAAGGCTGGGATAGAGGTTAATGTCTCATCAATTTTGGGTCTCTCTTAGATGTTTGACCTTATCCTAACAACTTAAGCTTTAGGTAAAGTCTGCATTTGGTACTCTAATCTCTTCCTATCAGACACAGGTGCTCTTCTCTGCCCAACTGCAATTCAGTCCAAGACATGCCTTCTCCAGTTAGTCTCTGGAGAATGTTGTTCCTACTTAGACTCACTGCATAGATCTTAACTTGTACTCCTGCTGGTGGTGTGCATATATGAGCTGTCACTTGACCATGCAGCCACACCTGGAGACCCATTTCTAGGTTCAGAGTCATCTCTGATGCAGCCTGTAATTTCCCCACTAGCATGCCACTCTGTAGGAATGAACCAGACATTGCCACATCATTCTATGTAGCATTTTCTTAAAATTAGAGCTTCACTATAAACAATCTTTGGTCAAGGAAAGGCTTTGTTATCTACTCCATGGTCTCTTTGAGAAAAAAGGCCTGGTCCCATTAAGCTCTTGCCTCGTTTTTGCCTTTCAGGGATTATTCGTGCTCTGTGTTAGATGTGAACTTTTGGTTAGGTACATAGGAAATATCTACCTAAGACACTTGTGATTTCCACCAAGTTTGAAACAGCAATCTAAAAGCTAACTCATTCATTAAATGATGGAATTGTTAAGTTGGTATAAAGTGATGGTACAAAAGCCCATCAGGGCAGGTTTGAAATCTAAATGCCTTTCAGTATGCATTGAACATGCGCATCCATGAGAAAATAGTATGATAAAGAAAGCAGGGTGTGACCTTATTGGATTCATATTTCCTTATAGAACCTCCAAATTAAGACAAATTTCCAGACATTTCTAAAAGCAGCAATACAATCAAGAAAACAAAACAATGAGATTCAGTATGTAGCTACTGCAAATTTGTCAGAAAATAAGTGGGAAAATAACAAGATCCTAGGAAATCTGTTGTATGGAGCTGAGGAAAAGGAATGAGTTTAGGTTTTTCTTTAAGTTATTGAAGAAGGCATGGGATTATCTTCTGGTTGCTAGTCTTCCCTTAGTTTCAATGGGAAACTTATCAGACACACTTATCTTGCAGAAGCAAGATAAGAGGACAAAAGAATTTGGAAGATCATGGTGGAATTAAAAAAAAAGGAATGTAGTCAGATGGTAAATTTAGTCTAATTATATTTAGAGATGGGTTAACATAATCAGAAGGTAAGGAACCCAATTATGAGATAGGTGTGATAACATAGATGGCTTAATAAAATACAAAATAGAAAGATATAAATAGAATGCTTTTATATAAATTCTGGAGGAGTTTAAAAATGAGTGAGTGTTCAAGATAACTTAGAAGGAAAGATATTAATATAAACTTGAGGTATGTTGGTCTTGAAGAAAAATGAAAAAGCTCATTTTGTGAAATGAGTGGAAGAATACCAGCTCTTTTTCAGATTTTCACCATTTTATTAATATTTTTTGATTATAGAATTTTAATTATGTAGGAAGGAATTTATTAAAAAGTAAACACAAAATAAAACCAATCATATAGTTTTGGCCAAATTGTTGCTTTTCTTTTACTTCATTTCCTAAAGGGCATTTCTCAGAGTCACTTGAAAGTAAAACTTGAGAGGGTTTTATTTTTTTGATTTATTTATTTATTTTTTTTAGTGGCTGTTTGTTGAAAAACCTTGTTGTAGGCTGCTAGGCATTCTTTTACTAAGAATTTCGAATGCACCTCATGTGCAAAAGACTGCTTAAGTGTGTCACTGCAGAAACTAGCAGGATTTCAAAATCAAACTCATCAGTTTTCTGTGATAGGATGATGGTTTGGGAGATACTCAAGAAAGGAGTACGTGTTAGTAGCTGAAGATTTTTCTGTCTTCTTCCTTGTGTTGTCAGATCCACACTTTTATTTTCCTTTTTTTTTTTTTTGAGACGGAGTCTCACTCTGTCACCAGGCTCCCTGCAATTTCTACCTCCTGGGTTCAAGTGAGTCTCCTGCCTCAGCCTCCCGAGTAGCTGGGATTACAGGTACGTGCCACCATGCCCAGCCAATTTTTGTGTTTTTAGTAGAGATGGGGTTTCACCCTGATGGCCAGGATGGTGTTGATCTCCTGACCTCGTGATCCACCCGCCTTGGCCTCCCAAAGTGCTGGGATTACAGGTGTGAGCTACTGTGCCCGTCCTTGTTTTCCTTTTGTCAAGAAAGCCAGACATTCTGTGACACGGTAAATGAAAAAGGGCTTGGACCCAACCCCAGCTCTGTTGCTTGCTTGTTGCGTTGCCATAAGAGACCCTCAAGAAGAATCTCACAAAATCCACTGCCCTCCCTTAGTCTCGCTTTCCCACTAAATCGCTCCATGCAAGGGGAGCCATTTATATTGCATTAAACTTTTCTCGGTGTTCTCTAATTCCAGGGGTTCTTACTGCCTGAGAGGGTCACTCCACCATGTGGGTAAGCGGGGTGTCCAGAGTCTGCCCATAGGCCATCAGCATCAGTTTTTCAAATCCTGGGACTTTCACTAAAAAACTGTGGTTCTTATTTTAAAAACAAAACAAACCAAAAAAACTGCAAGGAAGCAAACTCCACAAAACCCATCAAAACCCCAAAATTTTCTTAACCTTAATAACTTGTTCTTTTTCCATGCATATCTAATTCCTCCTTTTAAAAAATACCTAAAAAATTGAAATTGGTTTACCACATATTCCTGTTGGCCCACGACACATAATGATTAATATTTTTTCCTTTATAAAAAATTGATTGCTTTTACTGTGACAACTTTGACAAAGTCTTTCAAAGAGGGAGAGAAATGTGAATTCAAAAGGATAATGTGGCTTTTATTTTTTTTACTTTGATCCTGTTTTGTGAAGCATTACCTAGGTTAGTATTGCCTCATGTTAATCAGTGACCATAAAGGCCATTAGGATGCCTTGATAGATGCCCTTGGTCTCCCTTGACTTTGATTGAAGCATCTTAAAGGCCTGTATGCATGTGGCACAACATCTAACATTGTAATTGCTCACTCAGTAGCTCTGAGCACTTACTCTTCAATAAATTCTTAGATGCCGTGGGGATGGCGAATGAACTTTTTAATTACATGTCTGTTGTTTTCTATCACCAGGAACTAAATTAATGGGAAATTAGTTCACAAGGTTTATTATGCATTTTCCCTCTTTAAGAGGGGACTCTTTCTGACAGCCCTTCCACTTTTATCCTTTTACCATTTTTTTTTATTGGCCTCAGTACTGAAATTCCTTCTTTCTTGTTCCAACTACATCAGAAACATTCAATAGACTTAGCAGCCTATGAAAGTCTGACAATTACTTCCTCACGGCAGCCTTGTTTCAAGAGTAGGTCCAGAATAAATAAAAGTTTTTCATTTTCCTGGTGGCATCTGTTAGTTTTCAACATTGCCCAGAGAAAGAGTTACTGTGGAATACAAAAAAATGAGCTATTTTTTTCTTCCTTTTGGGGAGAAACAGACATATAGAAAACCATGAGTGCTTCCTTCATAAATCATATTTTATGTGCAACCAGTAAGAGAGAGAGATGATGATGGTTGTGGAAAAGTCATAGTGGATAACCTCAATTTATTCAGTCTTCTGAGATAATGTAAGAGTAAAGCATGGAAACAGGAATACAGAGTTCATCATAATTATAGATCATCCATTCAAAACATTTTGAAAACAGTGCTATGTAAACTTGGGATGACAAATAATGAAGCATAGTTAACACTTCTCATTGGTTGTGAATTTTCAAATACATCCAAGTATTTAATCATGGCCATTCATCATTCTGTAAATCAAAACTAGGTCTTTGAATTCTCTCCCTTTCCTATTCTCAGATTAAGGCATATTTGGTTTCATATAAAATCTTATGCATAATTTTGAATTTCTTGGGCCAATCAAATAATGGTACATAATTTAATTTAAAAAACTTTTCAGAAGGAGAAAACTCATGTTTCACATACTTCTTATTAATCCTAAGGCCTAGCAAAGGGTACATACAGCTGTAGTTCACCTCAATTATACACTGTAAATATTTAGATTAGAGACACGAAATAAGTTTTGGGAGTTGCAAGAATAGAATCAGATGTAGGAGGTATTCTTGTAGAATAGAGATGGAGATGGGATTTAAAATTTTTTATTTCACTGCTAGAGCAATAAAATCAGTATTAAAAACAAGGAGAGGCTGGGCACGATGGCTCATGCCTGTAATTGTAGCACTTTGGGAGGCTGATGTGGGTGGATCACGAGGTCAGGAGTTCGAGACCAGCCTAACCAACATGGTGAAACCCCGTCTCTACTAAAAATACAAAAATTAGCCGGGCGTGGTGGCGTGCGCCTATAATCCCAGCAACTTGTGAGGCTGAGGCAGGAGAATCGCTTGAACCTGGGAGGCGGAGATTGCAGTGAGCTGAGATCAGACCACTGCACTCCAGTCTGGGTGACACAGCGAGACTCCGTCTGAAAAACAAAACAAAACAAAACAAAACAAGGAGGGGCATGGGCTTGGATTTTCATAGGAAGAGAGGCTGAGAAGAACAAGAATGCTGACATTTGTTTTGTGAAATGGGTCTGAATGCCTATAAAAGACTAGCAGGTACTCAGACATGCCTGTCACCACTTGGCAGCAAAGCAAGGAAATAGGACAGTATTACATTTGTGAAGTTGTTGATCAGAAAACTAGTGTGCAGAGGAATTTGTGTGTTTTAAAATATTCCCAAAGTGGCAGAATATTACTGACATTTGAAACAATAGCACAGTCTACCTATGTTAAAATGGTATTTCCATTTTTAAATTATATTTTTTCAATAAAAGTCTTGCTCTCTTCTTAAGTTACAGATTTTTACTTTTTCATTTTGCTTGTTCCTGTGCTCCTTGATCCATCAATGAAAATGTGATTTTCTGTTGGAGTCTTCGATAAATATGTAAGGCTATTTTCATTGCATCAGAAAGCTGAAAGGGACCTTGGCTGATCATTTGTGTAATTGAATCGTGTCTGCGTTTAGGGCACAATTTTCATTTTATGAAAGAAACACAAGATTTCCCATGATGTTTTGCATGTCTACAAATTCAGGCGAATGAGTCTTTCCTCGGGCTCAGTGAGATCAGTGGGGTCATGCTAGTGAATTAACTGGCATGATATTTGCTTAACAAAAGCATGCCATAAATAAGAGACTTAATAGTCAGTTGGCAAGTTGCTTCATGCTAATGCTGTTTTTAAAATTTAAAGTAATGGATGAAATAAAGTTTTATATACATGTCTGGATTTTTGAAAAATAAGAAGATTTGAGGCATAGTGTATTATAGCAGAAATGTCTTTTAATTTATTTTTAGTTGTTTTGGGTACATGGTAGGTGTATATAGCCAAAAACCACAATTACTTTTGCATCAACCTAATATTTACAGGGTACATGAGATGTGTTAATACAGGCATGCAATGCATTATAATCACATCATGGAGAATGAGGTCTCCATCCCTTCAAACATTTTTGCTTTGTATTACAAACAATTCAATTATACATTTTTAGTTTTTTAAAAATACAATTAAATTATTATTGACTATAGTCACCCAGTTGTGTTATCAAATAGTAGGTCTTATTTGTTCTTTATAGCTATTTTTTTGTACCCATTGATCATCCCCACCTTCCCCCACCCCAACCCTCCCACTATCCTTCCCAGCCTCTGGTAACTGTCCTTCTATTTCCATGTCTTTTAAAGTGTCTCCCTCATTTCTGTGTACATGTGACTCACTGGGGAATAAACAGGGAAATCCTTTGTGATGAATCAGATGTCATTCTGAGACACAGAGCTTCTTATACTTTTCTTTAAAATCATATTTGCCCTTCTAGATCAGTATCAAGCAAATAACAACCAAGAATCAACATGCATAAAAATGACAAGGTTATCCCAGAGTTCTAGTTGTCATTTTCATAGTTGCCAGCACCCTTTTCCAGGAAAACAAAGAGAGTGGCCATCTAAGTGATGCCGTTGAGGAAGCTGCCTTTCCCCTAATTTCTGGAGAGCCTAGTGTAGAGGGAGAACTCCTGCCTCTGGGAATATAGCTTTTAGGGCATCCCTTTATCCATTCTCCACCATTCCTTCAGTGAAGGAAATTATAAAAGCAAAACTGGGACCCAAGGCATGCTTTGAGTCTCTTTGCCTCAGCCCGGGCAACTGTATTCTCCGAATTGAGTTCATTAATATTGTCTTCTTAGGAGAAATATTATCTTTCTCCAGACTGGGCAGGGAGTCTGGCTTGAGAGGCAACAATAAAGAAAGAATATGTCTTCCTCTATAAAGAAAGGCCACTTTATAATGAATTTCCTTTAGATCACGAACAGCACTGTAAGACCCAGACTGTCAACTTGTGCTTTTGAGGTTAGGAGCTGAGAAAACTCTTCTTGATTAATAATTGAGACCTAAACATGGCAAAAAACAGGTCTGCCTCAGCACGGAGATCATGCATCGAGGTGGCGGGCGATGCCTTCAGTGGGTTCTCTTTTCTTCCTGTCTCCTCTGCGATTATGTGGCAAGTTTAGAGTCAACTACAGGAGGAGTTTCAGACAAGAAGCACAGTTTGATAGAAACTAATTTCTGGATTGTGATTGTGTGAGACCTCCTGGGTGTTCCTGAGACTTTCGGAGGATGATTCTTGGCCTTGCTTTGTTTTTGTTCTTTTCTTCTTTAGGTTTTCATCTGAAGGCAAGTAACTCATGTCCCTACAAGGAAATTCCCCTGAGGAATTAGAGATAAGCATGCATTTCTCAATAAAACATTTTCAGAAAAAAAGTTGCTGTGTTTCCGGGAGAAGCAGATGGCTGCTATTGAGAGACACCTAGGTTTGTGTTCTGGGAATCTGTCTCCTACTCATGATAGCAGGGGGCAGATTCAGATCTGCAGGAGGTAGAAATAGGCATCAGATCACTCTGTCCTAAAAAACAAACAAACAAACAAACAAACAAACAAACAAACAATTGGAAGAAATGAATTGATCACAGAAGCATCTAGAGCTAGGACCAATTAAAAGTCAGTTAGTTTATATGACCTATTTGAAGATTTCTCAACAATCTTGACCTATTGCTTAAGAGCACAACATTTGTAGTAAAATGAGCCTAAGTTAGGATATGACTTAAGATCACTGACCAGCTGTCTAAGCTTGTTAGGGTTACCCAATATTGTGAAACTTCAGTTTCCCCATTTAAAAATATGGAGGCAATAATAGCAATTACCTAACTGGTTATTGCAAGCATTAAAGGAGGTCATCAATTTCTGTTTGAGGTTGGAAAATCCTTCAAAAGCTTTCTATTCATTTGAGTAACAAGCAAAACATTCTGATTTAATATCTGTATGTGCTTCAGTGTCTTTGATTATCACATTTAGAATATTCAATATTTTACTTGTAATAGTGAATAAAAAGTTTGCTGGTTGAGAGAGTGAATAAATGGGTGAATGGAAGAGTAAATAATGACTCTTGTAACACTATTAGTTATGGAGTGGATACACACTAGACCAGTGGGGCTGAGAAAATTTAAAAAATATTCAAGCAGTAGAAATTTTTACTTAATAAATATTGCTTGGGAGGCTGAATTAATGATAAAAATAAATGTTTTGCATTTGACATTATCTACCCAATAATTCACTTCTCTCTGCATTCTCTCACTCTCTTAAAGAAGGGTACCACATTGATGATGCTAAATGATTCTTGTAGAACCAGCCAGAGGTGGAAAAGAAAGTAGTTCTGACACTTGGTTAAAAAATATACATATACATAAATAAAGTCAAACTCCACTGCCATCTCTACTCAAAGTGTGTGCATACTTTCTTAAGTACACGCTGAGATGACTCATTTTACACTTCTTTTTTTACATATTTACCCTGTTTTAATGGGTTGGGGAATGGCAAGAGCAAAGGAAAGAATAGCTGATTACCATTCAAGACACACATCCAAATCACATAAAGAAATCTTTAGATCTGAGAATAATTGTGAAAAGAATACCAAATTCCAGTGTAGCTTTAAAAAGTGCACCGTTATCTTTAATTACCTGCTTGATAGAAGAATATTTATTTTGGAATAAGAAGGAATAATTTCAAAGTTGATGGCCTTGTTATAAATATAAGCAAATTAACTTTTTTAGAAAGCCATTTCGAACTCCGAAGACACCAGCAACATTTTTATTGATTAATTCTTTAGTGTTATAACAAGCAAGTTGTTTTTATGCCGTATTTATGAGCTGGTATATAATCACACATCTCAGGGGTGGAGAGGACCTTAAGAATCATCCACTTCAACAGCTTATTTGAAATGTGTTTGTTTTTATGTTCTGTATATATTCTGTTCTTTTGGTTATCTCTCTCTCTCTGTCTCTGTGTCTCTCTCTCCATGTATGTATGTGTGTGTGTGTGTATGAAATAGATAATATATATAAATTATCATAAAAGTATATTTACATATATATTTTAATGCCCACTCTATTGGACTTGTAAGAAAATCTTACTTCTATAAAGTACTCTAGAGGCATATACTTGTAGCTTATTTTGTGACATATGTTTGGTCATACATCTAATAACAAATCTTTGATCAGGAGCATAATTCCAATTAGAGCAGTGGTTCTTGACAGCGGCAGTGTTCCATCCTAGGTATTTTATACATGTATCAGAATTTTATTTTATCATCTCAATGACTAGTAAAAGGCAAGGTTGCTGGGTGCCCTGTGATGCATGTGACAATCTTTCTCAAAAGGAATCCTCCTGCTTCTCCTAAAATATTTGAATGACCCACTGGATTTTGATGTAGGTTAGAGACTGTTTATAATCATCGGAGCCTAGATTTTATTTTACTTAAATCGCAGAGTACTGTTTTTGCTATTTTAATATGCTGTAAGTTTTCCCAGAAAACAACTTGTATAAATTGACAAAACTTATTTTGTTCAGAATTTTTCCAGGAGATGCTCAATATTTCAGAAAACGACCTATCTAAAGACAATAGTGTTTGTGGCATTTAAGATAGAAATAAAGTACAAACCGTCAGTCTGCATGCAAACTGTAGTTACTGTATTCTCACGATTCTAATTATGGGTGCAGGCACCCAGGACTTTGCTATGTTTTCAAATATAGTTTTTTTCTATTGCTATATATGGAAATTCTTATAATTTTATTCTGAATTAATAACCTTACATCTTTTTTATGATATACTTGGGACATTATATTGATTTTTAAATTTTGTATACAGATAGGTTGTATTATCTATAAATTTCAAATCATAGATGATGTAACTTATTATGTCTATGATAATGAAAGAGGCATTAAATTATGTACGAGTGCAATAAGGAGTTGCGTTTGATAGGGCCAAAAAGCCCTGAAATAAAAAAGCAGTATACTCAGGGGAATTTGCTACATCTTCTAGTACAAGTAGAATTATGGGGCAATATACTATTTATCGATTGTTATATAGTAATATCGCCACAAACTGAGTGGCACACATTTATCATCTTAGAGTTTCTGTGGTTCAGGAGTCTGAGTATGGTTTAGCTGCAACATCTGCAAGGCTACAATCAAGATGGTGGCCAGAGCTGCAGTCTAATTTGTAAGATTGGCTGGGAAAGGATCTATTTCATGAGTCATGCAGTTCATGTAGGAATCGAGGTCCTTGAGGCCTGTTGGACTACAGACCTCAACTTGTTGCTGTCTGCTGGATAAAGGCTTCGCTTACTTCCTCACCGTGCAGCTCTCTTCAGTATGGCCACTTACTTCATTGAAGCCACAAAGGGAGAAAGTCTGAAATCAAGACAGAACATATAATCTTATGTAATGTCATCATGAAAGTGGCATCCTGTTGGCGGAGCTTGCAGTGAGCCGAGATCGCGCTACTGCACTCCAGCCTGGGCGACAGAGCAAGACTCCATCTCAAGAAAAAAAAAACAAACAAACAAAAAAAGGAAGTGGCATCCCATTATCTTTGCTGTATTCCATTGGTGACAAGTAAGGTATAGATTCCACATGTACTCAAGGGGCACGCATTACACAAGGGATGACCACTCACCTGCAAGGATAATTGAGGAACATTTTCGATTCTGTTCAACACAGCCAATTTCCTATAGCAGTGTTAGGTGGAGGGGATGAGTTATTGGGATCAGAAGGTAGCTAGTGTGTTCTGTAGTCTTTATTCCAATGAAAGATAACTTTACCCATTAATGTGAAGTCAATTGTACTCAGAGAAGAGGGAAAACTAGATTACTAGAATGTAATCTGTTTAAGTCTTGTAAGACTACAAAGTCCTTACTAATTTGATGTGCATTTCTCTGATGAGCATTTCTGTAGCACTGGAGTCCAGTGATGCAGGGATGGGTTATCCACATTTTCTGCCACTCAAGATCTTTCCATCCAGGTGATCCAGCTAGTTCTCAGGCCCATCAAACTTTGATCCAGGGTCAGATCTGGAAGAGGTAGAGAGCATTTTTTTAATTCCTTATTTAAAAAATGTGATTTTTGTGGGTCATGTGAAGGTTTGTTATAAAGATAAACACGTCATGGGGGTTTGTTGTACATATTATTACATCATTGAGGTATTAAGCTCAGTACCTGGTAGTTATCTTTTCTGCTCCGCTTCCCTCCTCCTACCCTCCACCCTCAAGTAGACCTGAGTGTCTGTTGTTTCCTTCTTTGTGTTCCTAAGTTCTTATCATTTACTTCCCTCTTATAAGTAAGAACATGCAGTATTTGGTTTTCTGTTTCTGCATTAGTTTGCTAAGGATGATGGCCTCCAGCTCCATCCATATTCCCACAAAATATATGATTGTGTTCTTTTTTATGGATGCATACTATTCCATGGTGTATATGTACCACATGTTCTTTATCCAGTCTATTATTGATGGGCATTTAGGTTGATTCCATATCTTTGCTATTGTGAACAATGCTGCAATGAACATTGGCATGTATGTGTCTTTTCCGGTGAGGTTGCAGAGAAAAGAGAACCCTTACACACTATTGGTGGGAGTGTAAATTAGTTCAACCATTGTGGGAAGCAGTATGGCGATTCCTCAAAGGGCTAAAAGCAGAACTACCGTTTGACCCAGCAATCCCATTACTGAGAGCATTTAAGAGTCAAATGTATTCATGACATAAATGTGTATTGAAAATCTGATATGTTTTAGTGATTGTTTTATAGGGAGGGGGCAGAGACTCTGCTTTTATGAAGCTTACAGTGAGTGCCAGCCACCATTTTAGCTTTTGGGGGCCTTCTCTAAGAAGGGTGGAGTAGTTAATGTAGACAAACATGGGTTTTGGCAGCATACGACCATGAATTAACATTATATTTCCGCTTACCAGCCGTGTGATTTTAGCTTACGAAAGCTACTCTCTGGTTGTTTATTTCTTCAAGTGAAGAAATGGGTCTAATAGTACCTATCACACAAGATTTTCTGTGAAGATTTTGTGAGATCCTATATATTAAGCACCCAGTGCATAGGTGTTCTCAATGTTAAATCCCCTCTCCATGTCTGAACCTTCAATAAAACAGACTATTACAAATTACATATGAAGACTTTGATGTTTAACGTCATCCACACAAAGTTAGGCAAAAGTCATATATAACAAATATTTAAGTAATCACCTGGAACAAGATCTCTTTAGTTATTTTTTAAATATGAGATCTCACAATTATTCTCAGCATTTCCTGTTCATTGTTTTGCTATGGGTAGCATGTCCTGATTACTCAGTTATACAAAATATTTGAATGGCTTAAAGGAGTATTTGTGTTTGACAGCATAAATAATATTGTTTTTGAAAATGTATGAATACAGATAGAAATCAATGGACTGGAGTATATGCATTTGTCTATCTTGGATTGATCTAGTGTATTGAGTCACAAAATTTAGTTGATAGAAGGGATAGAGTATGAGAAACAGAGTCCCACAACTTTGCATCAACTTAGAAAATTATTCTTTTATTTAACATTCATTCATTCATTCATTTATTCAACATTTTTAAGTTTCCGTTCCAGGATCTTGAGTACAGACATATGTGGTTTTATTGCACTTTGCTTTATCATGCTTTGCAGATATTGTGTTTTTTACAAATTGAAGATTTTTGACAATCCTATGTCAAGCAAGTCTATTGGTGCCATTGTTCCAACAGAATGTGCTCACTTTTTGTCACATTTTGGTAATTCTGAAATATTTCAAAAGTTATTATTAATCTGTTATGGTGATCTGTGGTCTTTGATGTTAATATTGTAATTGTTTGGGAGCACAACAAACCATGCCCATGTAGGTTGCAAACTTAGTTGGTAAATGTTGTGTGTAATAGTTGCTACACCAACCAGCTGTTCCCCAATCACTCTCCCTCTCCTTAGGCCTCCCTATTCCTTGAGACAAAATAATACTGAAATTAGGCAAATTCACAACCCTATAATGGCTTCTAACTGTTCAAGTGTAAGGAAGAGTCACACATCTTTCACTTTAAACCAAAACCTAGAAAGGATTGAGCTTAATAAAGAAGGCATGTCAAAAGCTGAGATAGGCCAATAGCTAGGCCTCTTGTTCCAGTTAGCCAAGTTGTGAATGCAAAGGAAAAGTCCTTGAAGAAAACTAGAACTACTTTAGCGAATACACAAATGATAAGATAGTGTGACATTCTAATTGCTGATATGGAGAAAGTTTTAGTAGTCTGGATAGGAGATCAGCCACAACATTCTCTTAAGCCAAAGCTAACTCTCTTCAATTCTATGAAAGCTTAGAGGTGAGGAAGCTGCAGAAGAAAAGTTGGAACCTGGCAGAGGTTGGTTCATGAGGTTTAAGGAAAGAAGCCATCCTCATAGCATAAAAGTGCAAGGTGGTGCAGCAAATACTGATGTAGAAGCTGCAGCAAGTTATCCAGAAGATCTAGCTAAGATTATTGATGAAGGTGGCTACACTAAACAAGAGATTTTCAGTGTTGACAAAAGGGTTTTCTTTTGGAAGAAGATGCCATCTTGGCTTTGAATAGCTGGAGAGAATAAGGAAATGACTGACTTCAAGGGACAGGCTATCTTGTTAGGGGCTAATGCAGCAGGTGACCTTAAGTCGAAGCCCATGCTCATTTACCATTCTGAAAATCTTAGGGCCCTTAAGAATTATATTAAATCTATCCTGCCTGTGCTTTATAAATAGAACAACTAAGCCTGGATGCCAGCACATCTGTTTATAGCATGATTTACTGAAGATTTTAAGTCCACTGTTGAGACTTACTGCTCAAAAACTAAAAAAAAAAAAAAAAAAAAAAAAAATACTCTTTTAAAAATATTACTGCTCATTGACAATACACCTGGTCACTCAAGAGCTCTGATGGAGATGTACAAGAAGGTGAACGTTGTTTTCATGCCTACTAACACAACATCCATTCTGTAGCTCCTGGACCAAGGAGCAATTTCAACGTCTAAGTCTTGTTATTGAAGAAACACATTTTTTAAGGTGATAGCTGCCATAGATAGTGATTCCTCTGGTGTATGTGGACAAAGTTCATTGAAAAGCTTCTGGAGAGGATTCATCATTGTAGATGCCGTTAAGAACACTCATGATTCAAGGGAGGAGGTCAAAATATTAACATTTACAGGAGTTTTGAAGAAGTTGATTCCGGTCCTCACAGATGACTTTGAGGAGTTCAAGACTTCAGTGGAGAAAGTATTTGCAGGTGTGATGGAAATAGCAAGAAAATTAGAATTAGATGTGATGCCTGTGGATGTGACTGGATTGTTGCAATCTCATGCTAAAACTTGAATGATTGAGGAATTGTTTCTTACAGATGAGCAAAATAAGTTTTCTTGAGATGGAATCTGCTCCTGATGAAGATCCTGTGAACATTATTGAAATGACAACAAAGGATTTAGAACATTACATAAACTGGGTAGATAAAGCAGCAACAGGGTTTGAAAGGATTGCCTCCAATTTCTCAAGAAATTTTATTGTGGGTAGCATGCTATCAAAGAGCATTATATGCCACAGAGAAATATTTTATAAAAGGAAGAGTTAAAGCAGCAAATTTCATTGTTGTCTTTAAAAAAACAATTAGCACAGCCATCTCAGACTTCAGCAACCACCATCCTGATCAGTCAGCAGCCATCAACATCAAGGGAAGACCCTCCACCAGCAAAAAGATTATGACTTTCTGAAGATTCAGATGATCATTAGCATTTTTAGCAATAATGTATTTACAAATTAAGGTATGTACATTTTTCAGATATGTTATTGCACACTTAATAGACTACAGTATAGTACAACTTTTGTATGCACTGGGAAACCAAAAAATTCAGGTGACTTGCTTTATTATGATGTTCACTTTATTATTCAGTTCACTAGAACTGAACCTGTAATATCCCTAAGGTATGCCTATGCTTGAAAAATGTTATCAGTAAGATGTGTAATGTGTGACAAATCCAGATAATACATTACTTTTGGAGAAGCTGAGCTGTTTCAAAAGTGTTCCTTTTATTTGAAGAAGAAGCAGAGTAGCCCAATCAAGTAATTTTATTTATTTTGAACTTACACAATAATTTACGCTTTTGTTTTTCAGCAAGTAGTAAGGGAGGTGGGTTAATCTGAAATGAAATGTTCTTAGATCCTGCTGTTCAGTTGGTTGGAGGGCATTAAAGATAGTTATTACTTAAGATCTCTGTTGTTTTGAAATTCCCATTTTCCTCTGACCTAAATTCTATGATGTAAAAGAATCCCAGCCACCACAGATAGACTGTTTTTCCTTATTTAAATGCTTTAAAATTTAGTTTTGACGGAATGGTCTCTTAATAGAATTCTTGTGATTCTGTAACATCTTAGCATCTTTGGTTGGCACTTAGAATATTCTCCCACAGGCATATTTCATTTGCCTGTATGCTTGTATTCCTCATTAGCTTATTTCCTCTGGAGAGTGAGACTCTGTTTCTGCATGTAACAGTTGATCAGTAAATGTTTTGATTATTACTATTTAGATCCTGAACATGAACGGGCTCCTATTCCTTTCCTATTGCTGCCCCCAATGAATTTTTACATTCAAAAAGTAATGACGTGTTATCTTGGTTTTTGTTTCTGGGAAATATTAGGAATGCTTTTTGGCAAATTTCAAGGGAATCCTATTTGGCATTAGAAATTATTTATTTTGAGGCCTCGTGTAAAATAAGCTTCAGGATTTTGAATAACTTTGGGCCCTGGAGAGAGTAATACCTAATGAAAACTGCAACTCAAAGAAATAATGAAAGGCCTCTTTAGGAATCAAGGTGGTAGCTCTAGCTCTTGAAGTCTTCTAATCAAAGAGTCAACAACCATTTTTGATCTCTGATCGCCAAAGCAGGCCTCAGAGGGGTCAACTGGCCATGCAGCCTGATCTCAGAGTAATGGCTCCTCCTATTTCAAGATTCAACTCAAGCATCAATTCCTGTAAGAAACCTTGACAGAACTGCCTTTTCTCCCACCTCCAAGTCAATGTGACCACTCCCTTTTTGCCTTCACTTTCTCTCCTGACTTGCATTTGATCAGCTAAATTTATGTAAAAAAATGAAGCCTACAACCCTAAGCTGATCTGAAACACACAGCAAATGGAGGTAGCCACATATATATTTGATAATTTCCCAGTTTATAGCATAACAGTTAAATCATTGTAATTTCTTATGGAATGTATGGATCAAACATTACATTTATTCTGTATTGTGTGCATTTGGAGTAATCCATTTGACATTTTTTTTTACATTGTGCTAGAAAAGTTAATGAGGCCACTGAAGAGAACCAAAAGTAGGAATTAGAACTGAAGATACAGCAAGAATTGCTAAAAGAAAGGAAATACTGTATAAAAGAGAAAAAAGACTTTTATGGAGTGATTTTAGAGTAACTATGGCTTTGTAAAAATGCACATCAGTTTATCAGTTTTATAAGCCAATGCTTGGTGGGTATGGAGTTTTTCAGTGATCCAGTTTCAAGTAAATAAGCAACGAATAAGAAGAAATTGTGTTTCTTTCTAGAATGTGTTGTCAACCACTGAATTTAATGCTACCAATAGATGCAGACTCATGAAGTGCAGTATGATTTCGATAAGGCCTAAGCAATTATCAAATCAGAAATGGATCTCTCATGCTATAAAATTGTACATTTAAGCAAATAATTTTAAGATAATTGGCTTTCAAACTATTTTTGGATGTATCAGAAGGGATGGTTGTGGAAATAACAGCACAGTAAATGAATAGTTACTGGAGGACAGGAAAGCAGAAAAAAAATCTGAAGTGTAAGGAGATACAGTCAAGCTGTTTATAAAATACATTTAGATACAAAAGAGGTCACTGTGTGGAAAACCTTTAGAATCACTGTTGAAAGAAAAAAAAATGTCCACTTCCCAATTTCAAGTTCTATTGGGATTGTTTGTATTATAAAGAGTTGACTAATAAATTCCTGCCAAGGATTATTTCCCTATCCAAACAAAATGTCCACAATTCTTTATGAGAGAAGATGATACCCATAGCTTCTGCTTCCCGCAGTGGCACTCTCATCACATATATTGGTAAGTATAGAGGTGCCAAGGAGAAGCAGGCAACAGTTTTCTCCATAGCATCCATAGTCATGCTGTTCAGCAGATAAGCCTAGTACAGTTAGTATGTCCTGATTTTTTGCTAAATCCTGGGAAAAATGAAAAGAGTCTTCCTTATGCAGTTGTGTTTTGCTGCTGAGTTGTGTTTGCAGTGTATTAGAAGAAATACATGTAGGAAGCCTGTTTTCAGTACACCACTGTATTACTCCATGGTCTTGAATTTCTGAGGTCTTAAAATAGGGTTATTAATATTACGGAGAAAGTCACACTGCTGGGTAATCTGGTTGAAATGGAGACAGAGCATAAACCAATAGAGGTGTACACATATACTAAGAATTTTGACTGGTTAAGGGAAACAAGAAACAAATGTATTTGTTTTCATTAGTAAATATGATTTTTTCTCAGGATATGAGTAAGAATTAGTGAAGAGGGAACAATATTAAATTATTTTCCTTAGTAAGGTAGGATATTAAAAATTAATCCCTTCTATTTGTCAGTTTTCCATGTCCAGAGTTAATTGAACAGTTGTGTTAACATTAATATAACATTGCTTGCTGGCTACCAACAATAATAGCATGGAAGAATGTTTTAAGGTATGTCTTCTGGTAGAATAACTATATCCTCATTATTAACAGTGTGGAAAATGTAGAAATGTAGAAGGAAGCAAATAATCACTCATCCAGAGATGATCCATGTTAATGTTTTAGTGTATTTTTTTCTATATTTGTAGCTTTGCCAATTTCACACAGTTACTTTTTAATATATACACCGGGGTTAAGTCTTTGTATGATTACAAAATAAATTCTTGTTCAATTTTTGAGAAAAATAAGGAAACTATGAAAACAGTATAAAGAAGAGCATGTGTGATTCCTAGAAAACAGCAAAAATAATTTGGAACTGCTTTTAATGACAAGGGTAGGCAATCAAGTTTGCTAAAATGAATAGGATAATCAGCTCCAGCCATAAATAAATTAGTATCTTTTTAATGTGTCTGTTGTGTGTATTCTGCAGCTGGCTCTTAAGTAATTTTTAAAGGAGGCCTGATATGTGTTCGGAGGGGGAGCAACATGATTAGAATATGGTAGCTAGCTTGGAATAGGCATCATCAATGATTCGAATGCATGCTCTAGATCATGCATGCTTTGGAAGCTACAAAGCTTCTCCAAATCTTGGAGAAGCAACACAGTGAGAAACCTGTCACTAAGCTTTTGAGGATTCCTATCTGGAAGAGGACTGTTAACAGTAAACTCAGGCTGCAGTTGATTTTCTTTCCATCATCAACATATTATCTGGGTCTAGTGAATTACAAACCCTCCTCTTGGCTTAACATTCTCTCTGATGGCTTTCTGCACATTGGCTTCCTCTTCTTGCTATCACGGTAATTACTCAGGAGACATACCATAGGTTTTCTTGGGTTTAGATCAGCTTAGGAAAGAAAAGAAAACTTAATCAGTGAACAGATTTCTTTGGCATTTTCCATGTAATCCTGGGACCCCTGCTTGTTAGTTTTGTCCTGTTTCCTGTTACAGAAAAGGCTGAAAATCAGCATGCAGATGAATGAGATAGCAGATGGTTTTCCCGTGATAGAGACCAACAATTTGTGAGATAGAATAGTAACGACAAACATACATAAGAGAAAAGGCAGAATTAGAGTACAGTATTTTAAAAGCTTTCAGGCGCTCAATAAATGCTCACTATTGTTAAAGAGAGAGAAAAAAGGAAGTCCTGTATAATACATCAATAAGATTTTAATTTTCAGTTATTATTATTTGAGCTTTATTTCCCAGCTCTCTGACACAGATTTAGGGGTGGTGTGGATATTCTTAGAGTGGAAATTATTGAACTCTTAGATTAAAGGTACTCGAGTTCCTAGCTTGCCCTGTAACTACACATATAGAGAAGATCACTCTCGTAGGTGCTAGTAAGTAGGAGATAAAAGTTTTAGGGGGAAACACAGAGGGATACTCAGAACTGGGAGCAGTCCTAAGGTGGACCTTCAAAATGATTCATGTCTTAGAAAATATGATTTAAGAGAAGTTAGGTCTATAGGGTCATTTTATCTGAGGAAAGATGGCTGTAAGGATCTTTAATGATAGGAGTCAAATATATGAGAGATTGTTGCAAGGAGAATGTTAACCAGCTATTCTACAACTCGACTGGGGATAGAAATAGCTTTAAATTACAATATACAGAATTTAGATTAGATAAAGGAAGTATGCTCTGAAAGTAAGAGTTGTTAAAAGTTAGAATATGTTTTCCAAGTAGGTTACAAAATTGTTTTAATAAAATTATTTGTGTTTATTCAAAAATAATGAAAACATATATATTACATATATAAATATTGATATATTACATATCAATATATAAACCTAGGATATAAACCCAATATGTAATTGATATGTTACATATCAATATATATTATACATGTATTGATGTCTTACATATCAATATTATACATGTGTTGATATATTACATATCAATATATTATACATGTGTTTATTATATGTGTGTGTGTCTATGTACAAAAAGATAGCTTTTTGACCTCAACAGCATTATAACTTGATAATTGTCTTATTTTGGAACTCACGCTGAAGTAGCTTTCAGATACTGTTCTAGAAGGCTTAAATTAAGTATGTTGACAATACCCCAAACTACTGGATGATATTTGTAATGAATTTCACCCTATATCAGTACAGAAGGGTGTCACAGTTCAGCAAAACAAAAGAGAATACGCTTTGTTAAACCTCTACTTTCTGAATTTTAGGACAGTGAGGAAATTTAACATTTTCAATTTTTTTTTCTTTTCTTGACTGAAAAGAAAGTCAAGCCAGCAATATGTTTCTGAGAGAGCAGTGATGCATTTCACAACACTGTTAACTGTCTGCTTGGCTTTTTGAGGCTTCCAGAGTTCAGAATTGTCTTCTCTTGAATAGGTCAGTGCATTTTTTTCCTTCAGTTTTTCTCCTTAAGCAGCAAAACAGACCATTTAACTTCCAAATATTTACAGCTTGCAAACAGATAAACTTCCCAAATCTGTTTTTTTTTATGAAAAGGAAAACGATCAGCCACAATAATCTATAATACGATATATTTGAATCAAAGTTATTAGATGCCCTAGGGTCTTTTCATGGCAGATTTTATATATCACCACCATTAATAAATCTGTTATCAGAATTATGTCTTTCTCTCTGTTGATAGTTATTTTTAGACTAACATATTCATACCTCCTTCTGATGAAAAACATTAAAATTTGAATAAGGCATATTAGAAAACCCTAAAGCTCTGTATTTACACAAAGGAGACTCATAAATATTGGTTTTTCAGGGTGAAGCATTGTGTGTTATTCCATTTTGTACCACAGGGAAAGCCTAGTCACACATGGGGCCTCATTAAAAGAGGATCTAAAGAAATATTTAATGGTTGAAATATAAGGTCTTATTCTGAATATCTACCTTCACTTTATAATAATAGAAACTGAACTGAAAAGATTCAGTAAGTGATTTAGAACATCCACTCATTTTAAAAGTAATGTCTAGGCCTAGGAAAGTGACATCATGTTCCAAATGTTACAAATCCAGCGTTTTTCCTTGATGTCTTTATAAATACATTGTTTACAGTTTTTATTCTCCTCCATATATGATGCCCCTTTTCTAAGATTATTTCGTAGGTATATCCTTTAATGAGAGAACCTCATAAATAAACTTCCTGAATTTGAAAACGAGTGAGAGGAGACTTCAAGTTTGTGGACTGAGCTAAACATGTGTCTACTCTCCCTTCAAACATCCCATGGAAATGGCAGTAAAGACAGAACAAAGAGAATACATTTCTGAATATACTGAGGAACATATACTCCAGAGAGCAGAAACAGGAAGAGGGGCCTCTGCTAAAGCTGAAGGAGTCTTCAGGAGGGAACCCAGCTGGGCTCTGTGTTCTGGTTGGCAGATACAGAGAGTAGCCAAGGTCAAAAGCAGACAAACAGAAAGTGAGGTGATTGGCCACAGGTTTGGAAATGGCTCAGGTTTGCTCTTTCCAACCCCTTGCATGTCACTGCACATTTACCTCCAGAAGTAAAGCAGGAGAACTCTGCAAAGGGAACCAACAATCTGCATGGGAGGGCATTGCCTCCAAGTGTGTGGGCTGGCGACCAAGTGCAGCCCTCTGCCCTAGTTATGGGAGTTGGAGAGGGACTTACTGGTTTGCATGTTCCATGCAAGAGCTAAAGCAAAGCACATCTCGGAGAAGTGAGCCAGGAAAGTGGATCAATCCATGCCAACAACCTATATTAATTAACCTGATAATTAATATGTATATAAAGTGAAAAAAAAGAAAGAAAAAAGGGAAACAGCCATGAGACAGGATTTCACAACCTCTGCACTATCAACATTTTGGGCAAGATACTCTTTTGTTCTGGAGAAGTGTTCTGTACATTGCAGGATGTTAAGTAGCATGCCTGGTCTCTATCCAATTGATGTCAGAAGCAAGCAACATCCATCCCTGGCCACTGTGAACAAAAATGTCTCAATATCTAGACAAAGATATTGCAGCATACTCTGGAGGACAAAACCAGCACTAGCTAAGAACCATTATCCTAGAGAAAATAGAAATGGTTTAGAGAAGAGATCTTTTCAAGATATCTACCTTGGTATCCTCAGACATACTGAAGAATTACAGTCTCTAAAATAATTTTCTGATACGGAAAATGAAGAAATCAAAGGACAGAAATAACCCACGGAATTTTAAAGTTTAATTAACAAAATTGTTGAAAAATTCAAGGAAACCTTCCAAAAGGAAAAGAAAGAAGAAGTTATAATATGTGAAAAAGGGGAAGAGACAAAGAGAATCCGTTTAGGAAGCTAAGTGTCTGTCTAATAGGAATTCTAAAACCAGAGGGAAAAAGCACAATAAATGAGACAAAATAATCATGACATTTCCTAGAGTTAAAGAAAGGCACGTCCTCAGAATGAAAGGCCCAAATAATGTTGAGAACAATGAATTTTAAAATACCTACATCAGACACATGCTAATGAAACTTTAGAATACCAAGACTTAAGATCCTAAAGATTTTGAAAAAGAAAAACATAAACAAACATTCTATCATAGGAATGACAATCACAGTCAAGTTTTCAATCTGCATCTTGAAAATGCCAGATGATAACAGGACAGTGACCTAATGTTCGGACAGAAAACAAACCTAATACCAAATGGAATCAAACAGGAAACTCAGAAATAGACACGTTAATATGCTCAAGTGATTTTTGACAGAGGTACAAAAGTCATTCAATTGCCTTTTCCACAAATGGTGCTGGATGCCCAATGGCAGAAAAAAGTAAGTCTTCACCTAAGTCTTACACCTTACACAAAAGTCAACTGAAAATGGATCACAGACTTAAATATAAAATATGTACCTATAAAACCTTTTAGAAAAAAACAGGAGAGTGTCTTTCAGATCTAAGGTGAGCCAAATAATGGGTCGACTTGATACTGAGATCACAACTTATAAATGGAAATGTTGATAATTTGGACTTTGTAAAATTAAAAACCTTTGCCCTGCAAAAGACCCTTTAAAAGGATGGAAAGACAAGCTACAGATTGGGAGAAAATGTTTACAAACCAAATACTTGATCTAGGACTAGTAACTCAAAAGTCAACAGTAAAAAATTTTAGTAACAATCTATTTTAGAAAATGAACAAAAGACACAAAGAGATATTTCACCAAAGAGGATATACATTTGGTGAAAAAGCACATGAAAAGATGTTCAAGGTCATTAACCATTAAGAAAATGCAAATTAAAACTACAATGAGGTATCACTATCCAACTATCAAAATGGCTAAAATAAAAAGATTAGTGACGAGACCAATCGCTGGCAAAGATGCGGAGAAACTGGATTACTCATTCATTGCTGCTGGGAATGTAAAATAGTACAGCCCATACTAGGAAAGAGTTCAATTTCATAAATTAAACATACAACTACCATATGACCCAGCAATTGCATTCCTAGGCTTTTCTCATAGAGAAGTGAAAACTTGTGTTCACATAGAAACCTGTACGCTAATGTTGAATGTTCACAGCAACTTTATTTGTAATAGCTGCAAACTGGAAACATCTCCAGTGTCCACTAATGGGTGCATGGTTAAACACATTGTGATACATCCATACCATGGAATAGTATTCAGCAATAAAATAGAACAGGCATGCAATGGAAAGTTACATGCAACAGCCTGGATGAATTTCCAGAGAAATATGCTGAGTGAGAAAGGCCAATCTCAAAAAATTACATAATGTATGATCTAATTTTTATACCACTTTGAAACCATAAAATTAAATGAAGAACAGATTAGTGGTTGCCAGGGGTTAAGTAAAGTGGGAGGAAAGTGGTTGTGGCTATAAAAGTGCCACATGAGGAATGCTTGTAATGATGGAATTGTCTGTTTCTTGACTATGAGTGTCAATATCCTGAATGTGATATTGTGAGATGTTACCATGGGGGCAACTGGGTAAAGGGCAAATGGAATTTGTCTTATTTCTTACAACTGCCTATGAATTTACACTGATCTCTAATGAAAAGTCTCATTTAAAAATTTGATAGTGCTTGATTTTATCAGTTGATCAAGCTGCTCTTAGTTGAAATAACAATTTCAGAAGGATCAGCATAATGAATCTACCAGTCACTGAAAACTCTCAATTATCTGTCTTGTCTTCCCTTTCAGTTTTTGTTTCATTTCTGTTTTAGTAACCTCTTAGAAAAAGGTAGTATTAAAGGAGACCTAGGTCTCTTTTACCAATTTAGGATAACTTCACAATCTCCGCAGATAAATTGGTATCTGTGTACACACACAAAAATAGGAAATTCTTGTGAGTAGTTTACAGGGGAAGTGCTTAATATATAAACAAGGCAGTGCTCTGGTAAAATTACTTATTGCATTGAGATTAAGAACATAATAAAATTATTAAAATAGCCTACCACTTTCATTACAGACTTAAAATGTTCTTCCTTTTATCTCTGGGGGTTTGATAATCCCTGTTTATTGTTCTTTTATTTTGCTGTATATCACGTTGGCCATTTAATCATTGGCTCTTTAGCAGGGTGGGTGTAGAGAGCATTAAAAAATAATAAATGATGCAGTTTATCATCACCTCCCTGTAAAACACAAGGCACGTGAAGGATATGAGTTTCCTTTAAGCTAACGTATTTACTTAATGTGATTTCAAACAAACTCCTACAAAAGTTTTTGGTTATGGCATCCATTTTGGAATTTGAAAAATATATATAATTCATCTGAAATAAATGTATAAAACAGCTAATTTTCTGGTAAGATATAATATGTGGGATTATCACTACTACTTTTCAAAATGTAGTCTAAAGAATATTACTTAAATGAGCTTTATGCTGAGTAAAGAATATGGGGGAAAAAACCCTAAGAGTATAAAAGCCCAGAAAGAGCCTCTTCTACGTATGAGAGTGTATGTATGATATACTATATTAATATATGTATTGTTTAATATAACCTATTTTGATAAATAATAGTATAATAGACTATATTATATACTATTATATAATATAGGGAGGAAAGTACCATTAAATAAAAGATACTGGAGCAACTGGATAACTATTTGAAAAACAATAAACTTAGACCATTTGTTGCACTATACACCAAAATAAATTTCATATAGATTTTAAGGTTAAGTGGGAACAAAAAGATATCACACACAAAAAACTGTATCTGAAAGTAAATATGTTCTCCTTATAGTAGAGTGAAGGAAATCAGTTAAAGCATTCAAATAAAGAGAAAAATGTAAAGAGAAACATTAGTATATTTGCTATATAAATGGTAAACGTTTTATATGTCAAAAATCATTTGTATATTAAATATTTATATTAATCTGTCATATGTGGTAGATGATTAATATACCTAGCATATAACATGCTCATATAAATAATAAAAAAATCATAAGAGAAAACAAGACAAAAGCCATATATGTAGATAATTCATCAAATGGAAAATTATAAATAAGCAAATTTTGAAGGAAAATAAAATAATATGTTCTATGATTAAAGTGGTCAATGTCTTTAAAGGCTAATATTAATAGCTGACTTGTGGTCTGTAAAGAATAGTTTATTTAACATGTGACTTATAAAAATATATAACACTTTTGGACAGCATTTTTAGAGATAAATATTCCACACTTTTTGTAGCATTGATTAACTTTATTCACATCTTAAATACTTATAAAAATCTGAATACTACTTTATTTCAATGTTATTTAAATTGGTGTCAAGTTCTGGCTAATCTACCTACCGAATAGTAAGAATATTGTTATGCAGATCATTGTTATTCTATAAAATGCAGTACCATTCAGTCATTCAAAAATACATTTCCAAAAAATGTTTAGAGAAAATGCTAAAATTATGCTAAGTGAAAATTCAGACAATATTTAAAATTTTAATAGTCTGACAGATTCTGATATAGATAAACAGAAAGAAAGAAAGGTAATGTAATTTTCATGTAATTGTACCCATGTATATGGGGAAAAAAGGCTTGAAGGCAGTATACAACAAAATGTTAAGGACTTGTTATTTGCATCTACTATTTCAAGAATTCCTTCTGAATATAACCAACAGTTTATGCACAAAGAATTTAATTGCAATATTCTTAATAACGGTGAAAGTCAAATATTCATCAATAGGTAAGTGTTTAAATTACATTATCAAATACTCAGATGATATAATTCTATGCAGGCATTATAATTATGTCTTTGAAGTGTTTCTGTTTTAATAATATGTAAAAGTGCTTATGATATAATGCTAAGTAATTAAACCATATGAATGTATGTTAAAAGGCTGCATGAAAATATGGTAAATTGTTTGCATAGGTTATCATTGAGTAGTGAAATCATAATTGCTATTTCTTTCTTTTTTCTTTTTTTTTTTTTTTGAGATGGAGTCTCGCTCTGTCGCCCAGGCTGGAGTGCAGTGGTGCGATCTTGGCTCACTGCGAGCTCCGCCTCCCGGGTTCACGCCATTCTCCTGCCTCAGCCTCCTGAGTAGCTGGGACTACAGGTGCCCACCACCACGCCCGGCTAATTTTTTGTATTTTTAGTAGAGACGGAGTTTCACTGTGTTAGCCGGGATGGTCTCGATCTCCTGACCTCGTGATCCGCCTGCCTAAGCCTGCCAAAGTGCTGGGATTACAGGCGTGAGCCACCGCACCCGGCCCATAATTACTATTTCTTTCATTATGTTCTGGACACTCCAAATTTTCAACTACAGGGTCCAGCCTTTGCAATCAGGAAAAAAAAAGTGTTTAAAAACATCTCTGAGGACTTACATATAACACCAGAAGGATTTATACATTTATTTAGTTAATGTGGTTAATAAAACCAAAATATTCTTTAAACCATGTCTTAGCTTCATTCTTGTCTGCAATACTTTGGCACTGCCTGGATTTGGCATCATGAACTGCTGCAACTAAAATAACAGTAAGGTGCATTTATACAAAGGAAGAAATGAGAGATTAAGGTCCCCTGTTAATACTAAGGAGCCTGATAGATTTTGATATGTTTTGTGCACTGGTATCTGTATTTTCATTTTATTGATTTTTTTCTAAGGACCTTACAGCTAAAGCCAGGTCCCCAAAGAAGTCAGGGGTTTTTGTGTTACCCACAACTTGGCAGAATGTCTGCAATTACTCCTTCTGCTTTTAACTGACTTTGAATCCTCTCCTTTTGGCTTGAGTACCTGGCTTTCAGCCAGGAGAAGGGAAAATACTCTATCTGTTGGTTTTCAAATGTCATTTCCCCTTTGGCTTTGTTGATGGTAAAATTCTGCCTTTGCATCTGAAATTGGAAACTCTTCTAATCCTGGAGTCTGAGTGTAATTAATCGGAAGGCTTTCTCTTATCTGTGTCTAGGATCAGCCTTTAGTCTGATCTTCATTTTTATCCAGGTGCAAAACTCAAATACTTTTACCTTTAGTGCAGTGGCCCAAATTTTGTCCCTAGTTCTGCCTGTGCTATCATTAACTGTCATTTTTTAATTATATCTACACACGAATGTGGGCCAGAGGCAGCAAGATCTGGATTTTCTCTTCCTCTCTGAGTCCCTGACCCTTGGATTGTTCTTCCTTCTTTTCAATTTTGGTGGGTTCTGGGTTTAGATTTGTAGCCTAACCTAGTCAACAACTTCTTTGGCATAGAAAAGAATTATTTCTGATGTGTATATTTTCCCAGAAGTTAGAATACCCCTTTGATATATTTATTTGTGTTTAATCCACAGAAAGAATGAAGAATTAAGTTATATTAACAAGAGTATCTTGCAGTATATATATGCTTTAAAGTTCACAGTGACTTTGACATGCCTCTTTCATTTAGTTTTCACAACTCTTGGAACGTGTTTTTGCCCATTTTCTGCATAAGAAAACTGAATTTCAGTAAAATTAAATTGTTTTTCCCAGGCAACCCAGCCAGGAATCACTAGTCCCCCTCTCTCAAAATCCAGCATTTGCTCACTAGACCAGAGCTGCTTTAAATGACAATAGTGTATGGAATTCATTATAGTAGAATCCATTCTAAACACATTGTTAATGGTTTGATCAAACATCTTTAGTAGCACCTTTTCATTCATGTTTTATTATGTATGTGTGCTACCCACTTTCTGTGCAGAAATTTCAAGGAAAAGGAAATTAGGCTTTCTGTAATACTCCTAATCCCTGTCCTTAATAAGTCCAAACTCTTTAACATGATACATAAGACTTTCACTATCCGGGGACCCCAGGGTACTGCACCATTCTCATCCATGTTTCTCACCTCTAAGCTTGTGATACTCCTGTCATGCAGCATTTTCCTTTGTTGTCCAAACGTGTCCTGCTTTAAATGTTACCATTCTCAATTCTCATCTGCCTGGTGACCTTGTGTTTCAGTGGTTGTCTGGAGCGTTAGTGTTCATTAGAATAACCTGGAGGGTTTGTTAAGACATAGCTTCTTGGACGCCCACTTCCAGGTTTCTGATTCAGTTGATCTGGGCCCTGAAGTTGCCTTTCTAACAAGTTTCCATGTGGTCCTCTTGCTGCTGGTCTGGCATCACACTTTAAGAAGTATTATTCTACTTATCCTTCAAGACCTCAACCTAATTGATCTACAGATCCTTTTCCAACTATAGGAATATTTAATTGCTTGTTACTCTATGCTTTCAAGCTCTTGTTTGTGTAACATCTCACATTTTTTGGTGACTATTTATGAGTGTCTTCTTTGCTTAACTGTCTTCCTTTTACAAGGGAAAAGACTTGTTTGACTTGTGTTTAGATCCTCATGGGCTAACATGATGGGAACTCATGAAGAATTTGTATGAATAAATAATGAACCTGGAAACCTTTGTTCATTTAAAGTTGCTTGTACAGGATGAATGTTTTGCTTCATTGGTTTCCATTATTATTGTCTTCGTTCCCATTCAAATTCTGTTTCTAGGCAAACTGGAAGAGGAAAACTATGTAAACTGAAAATACAATTCTAAGCCTCCCAACCATCTGAGTGGACCCCTTCTCTCAACCAAGGGCATTCCAAAGTTAACCTGAAAAACTAGTTCAGGCCATGATAGGATGGGGGAGTAGGACATGCCTCAATATTCCCTCCTCCCTTCTGGAACTCAGGCACAGCTGACCAGTATTAACATTAAAATAGATTTTAAGACTGACAAGGCAGACTGTTTATAGCAATAAGATACCACATTCCAGCCTGAATCTAGTATAGTATCACCTGACAGATAGCAGACCCTGAAAGAAATCAAAGTATTTTATCTCAAATTATGGTTTTTTGCCATATCTTGGAATAGTCCTGCAAATCTGTCTCTCATGAGGAAAATCCACATTCTGAAGAGAATCCCTTTCCTTTTCCAGGCCTCTTTCCTGATCCAGAAGAAAATCAACTCTGATAAGAAACATTTACAATCTATTCTCTCTGAAGCCTGCTACCTGGAGGCTTCTTCTGCATAATGGGAACCCTGGTTTCCACAACCCCTTATCTTGACCCAGACATTCCCTTCTATTCATTCTAGGTCTTTAGACTATAACTTGACTCTTTCATCCAATTAGAAAATCTTTGAAGCTGTCCGGGCATAGTGGCTCATGCCTGTAATCCCAGCACTTTGGGAGGCTGAGGCGGGCAGATCACCCGAGGTCAGGAGTTCGAGACAAGCCTGGCCAACATGTTGAAACCCTATTTCTACTAAAAATACAAAAAAAAAATGAGCTAGGCGTGGTGGTGGGTGCCTGTAATCTCAGCTACTTTGAAGGCTAAGGCAGAATCACTTGAACCCCGGAGACAGAGGTTGCAATGAGCCGAGATCGCACCATTGCACTCCAGCCTGGGTGACAAGAGTGAAATTCTATCTCAAAAAAAAAAAAAAAAAAGAGAGAGAAGGAAAGAAAATCTTAGAAGCCCCTCACACCTTGCCACTTCAAATTGTCCCCCCTTTTCAAATCAAACCAATATACATCTTACATATATTGATTGATGTCTTATATCTCCCTAAAATGTGTAAAACCAAGTTGTAACCCAACCATGTAAGGCACATGTTCTTAAGATCTCTTGAGGGATGTGTCTCAGGCTACTGGTCATTCACATTTGGCTCAGTCTAAATCTCTTCAAATATTAAGAGTTTGACTCTTTGACAACTAATACATATATATTTTAATAACCACTATGTGCCAGGAACTGTGCTTCATATATATTATTGTGTAATTCTCAGAGTAATTCCCATGACATAACTATAGTACATCTGTTTTAAAGATAGAGAAACTGAGGCTCAAAAAGACTAAGTATTTTGTAAATATTCTAAGACTGGAAATAATATTTGATTTCAAGATTTTCTTATTCCAAAATGTGTTCTGATCTGCTGCTCTACCCCATCTCTACTAAAAATACAAAAATTAGCTGGGTGCAGTGGTGCACACCTGTAATCCCAGCTACTTGGGATACTGAGGTAGGAGAATCACTTGAATTCAGGAGGCAGAGGTTGCAGTGAGCTGAGATTGCACCACTGCCCTCCAGCCTGGGTGACAGAGCAAAAATCTGTCTCAAAAATAAATAAATACGTAAATATAAAATTAAATTAACTCTTGCTTGTCTCATGACAGGTAAAGATGATGGGACAGTGGCTGCCTATCTTCAGATAAAATAAAGGTAATCTCCACATTAACATTACTAGCAGTGGTTCCTGCTCTCTTCTTTCTTTTTTTTCTTTGCATCCAGATTCAATTCCTAAATTACTCCCAGTATGACAGTGATTTCTACTGTGTTTCTCCTTCACTCTCTGCAGATCATTGAAGAGGTAGCTGCAAATGCCTTTCACTTGCATGGCTTTTCCAAAATGTATTCAGATTGGCTGAATTTCTGAATCAAATACAATTTATTTTCTCTCTTATCCTAGCAGAAGATTTAAGCAAAGAGATATGTAAAATATATTAAAAAATTTTTAAGTTTCCTTTTTTTTTTTTGAGGCAGGGTCTTGCTCTGTCTCCCAGGCTGGACTGCAGTGATGTGAACATAGCTCACTGCAGCCTCAACCTCCTGGGCTCAAGTGATCCTCCTGCCTTGGCCTCCCAAAGTGCTGGGACTACAGGTGTGAATCACTGTGCCCAGCTTATTTATTCTTTCTTTTTTTTTGTACCCATTAACTATCCTACCTCTCTTTGTCCCAACTGCCCTTTTCAGCCTCTTGTAACCATCCTTCTATTCCCTATTCTCATGAGTTCAATCATTTTGATGTTTAGATCAATATGGGACTTATATTTTTAAGCATTTTGATTTAATTTTCATCCGTTGGCCAAGCTTGGTGTTCTGCATTTGCAAATTTTGTTAGGGTACAGGGTAGTCATGGCTGCAATCTGGAGAAAATAATATTCAAGATAGTGTTCCAGGACTTATTATTATCATTTCTTACTGGTCCATTGGCTGAGTTGGAATACCAGCTAATTTATTAGATATACCCTATGCTTCCATTGTGCAAACCTCAGCCTATACTTGGCTACATTCTCTTGTAAACATTTTCAAGCTTTTTAAAAAAATTCCAAGGTTAAATTTGAGTTGTAGAAAAGAAATATGAATAATGGCCATCATAATTATTCCATTATAAAAACACATACACACACTCAATAAAATGTGTTGTTTTAAAATTATTACCCTAAGGCAAGTGGTGAATAGATCCAATAAAAATAAAAGAAATAGAATGAATAAGAAGATAATAAGACGAATGGAAGACTACATTCTTTCTACTGACTGGTCATCGGTTTTTCTAAATCTTGGTCCTTTATCTCCAATGGGTCTTTGAGGACAAGCACATCTTATGTACTTTGTAAATATTTGCTGTTTATGCACATTTTGAGTATCATTGTTTAGCTTTGCTTTTCAGATGCATGAAACAAGTAAATTTGAGGCAGCAAATGAGTAATTTGTAAATCTAGACACAATGAGAAGGCAATTAAGAATGCTGCTTGATGAAAAAGAATAAGAGAATAATGTTGTAGGTAAGGGACAAACTAATTTCACTAATAGTGGCTTTATATACAGTCCAGTATGTGAAAATACTTAAGTAATTAACATTAACATTCACACTGTCATCCTAGGTAGTGATAAGATACTGGCGACCACACACAAAAATGGAATAGATATCTGTGTCTGTAAAACTAAAAACTCTTCAAGGGAGAAAAAGCTCTAGTGAAAAATGGAATTCACCAGGAAGTCACTCAAGAGAATGCAAGTATTAAAAGCACTTTATTATAAGATAAGGATGTCCCATTCTTAAAATAATCTCCTAGGGAAGGCTTCAAGGATAGCATTATACTAAGTAGAGAAGTTGTCTGACAAATAGGTAAGTATAAAAATCAGAGAACCTACAGAAAACAAATCATTCTTTGAGTTGCATGAACTTTAGGAAAGAGTCTTTATCAGCCATGATCAAATAAATTGGACAGGTCATATAACAAGTTAGAAGTTGCCAAAATTTTTTTATAGAAGAAACAGATGTCATCTTCTTTTGTAAACTACATCCTGAACATATCCCATCCTGACTGCTTCGTGGCGTATATAAACTCCCACTCCACCCCCTTTTCCCCGTCTCAAGCAAGCTGACCTACCAAGCTGTGTATTTTTAATCACTTTCTATAGCAATCAAGAATTTGCCATCAGAGAAACTGCTTCACTGCGTCTTATCTTTCCATGCCTGTTCTTGCTAAACAGATTTAAGATAAGAGCAACTGGCAGTAAGTGCCCTTCCTGAAAACAGAGGTCACAGATGTTTCTACTGAAGCCCAGTAAATGGTTTTGGGAGACATTTGAAATCTTAGTCATATTCAAATCCCAAATACAATTTCTCTTTTTTTTCCCAGAAATTTCAAAGGTTTTAGAAATATTTTCTACTGGAAAGGTATCTCTCATTCTTACTCAAAATTTAGACACTAATGAGTAGATGGCAAGTCTTGTTTATAAGCATTAATCATGAAGATGAACATTTATAACTGAAAAAAGATGTTCGAATTTTGGGGTTTGTAAAAGAACTAGGAATGGAGAACATTTAGAGTTCACTATGTGGTGATATTCACAAAAGCAAATGATGATATAACTATGTCACTTGGAAGGAGCTTCAGGCAGGTTCTTTCTCTTCTACATGTAACATGTAAGCCTGTTTTGGGGTCATTGCTGAGGAAAACTACTTCTTAAGACAATTTTACGACTGCATTGTTTCAATAGTACACCAAACTATGTTGGAAAGTTATGACCTAGAATCTGAAAAAGAAAAAAGTGATGAAGGAATAATGAAAGGCTGCATGACAGAAGTATTTAGTCTTCATTCCTGTGTTTGAAGCAGAAAAAAAGGTATTGAGGGCTAACCAGACTCTGCCTTTTGCTAAATTGAAGAGTATCACATCAAAGGCCAAAGATCCATTTTAACAGGTGCCTTAAAAAGTTGTACTAAATGATCTCTGTGCCCCTTTGGATCATGAATTGTCTACATAACTGCACAACGAATGAACGTAAGAAAAATGAATTGGCTGGTGAAGCCTGTCTGGTAAACAATCCATGATCCTGAGGGAATTGTAGTTTTGCAAAATATTCAGCAACTACTTTAGTTTAAATATTTTATATGACTCATTGAAGCTCCAGGAAGATACTACTTTCTTCTCAATATCAGTTCCTGGTTATTGTCATCATTCCTTTATCAGAGTTTGTTTCCTTGTCAAATGAACTCTTAATACATGTATCTATCACTGACAATTTTGTAGAAAGGTCATTATCTGTTCTGTTTCCCACTCCATGAAACGGAACTTATTCCATTCAACTTCGTGTAAAGTCTTTTCAAATGACACAACTGTAATTAGGAAAGATGTCAATAACTATTTACAGATATTTATGTTGTATTCAGAACTGTACTAGTTAGAGTGTGTGGTTTAAAAATTTAAAAAAAAAGTGGGTGAGATGGTGAGACTTAACTACCCTATTACACCACTACTAGGATGGTAAGAATTTAGTAAGTAAACCAGAAAGTTATTAGAAAAACAAGTAGGAGCAAAATAAGCTCTGTGGCATTGAACTAAGAATAAAATGTGAAGAGAAGGGGTGAGCTCTATTATCTACTTAGGGATGCCTTCAGTAGAAAATGGGACTTAAAAATGGGCAAAACTTAGGAGGGTCTTTCCAGGAATGAGAATGAACAGATCCTGGGATAAGTTAATAAGGTTGGATTTATTAATCACCTGAGATTCTCTTTTTTGATTATTGGGTCATCTTGTACACATCAACTCTGATTACAAAGTAATTAGTAATCAATAATTATTTCTGCATGTGCCACTGGATAACCATTCAATACGTAAAAATATTTAGGTGAAAACTTTGCTTGCCAAAGTTTCAAAAGTTAAATACTTACCAGGCTATTATCACTATAGAAAACAAAGGATGAGACGTTACTATGAAAAGGATGGGTACAAAAGTCATTTGAAGAAGAAACGTACTAATAAAAATATATTTCTTAAGTACTTTAGTCTGCAAGTGGCATAATTATTTGTGTGCAATATCCAGAAATACATGCTTCTTGGTGGGTTTTAACAGACATATTTTTACAATTAAAAAGTATATGCCTAATTTATGTTGTGGCAGATTACATTTTTCAAAGACAGTTACACTGATAAATCCCAACCCACATGGCCATGTTATAGGTGATGTTGACACTCCTCCATTGGGAGGTATGGACCAGTTTTAGTGACTCACTTTCGTCCAATAGAACGTAACAGGAATAATGCTACAGTCCAGGTCATAAAAGGGAGTAGAACTTCTACCTTGTTCTCCCTCTCATGATGTTAGACCTTGGAACACAGCCACATATTGTGAGAAAGCCCAAACTACCCCATGTAGAGAAATCACATGGAAAGGCCCACAGAGAGAGGAACTGGGGATCCAGCTGATATTTAGCATCAATTGCAAAATGTGAGTGAAGGAGGCTTCAGATGATTCTGGCCTAGAGCCTTCAACTTTTTTTTTTTTTTTTTTGAGATGGAATCTCACTCTGTTGCCCAGGCTGAAGTGCAGTGGCGCAATCTCGGCTCACTGCAAGCTCTGCCTCCCGGGTTCACGCCATTCTCCTGCCTCAGCCTCCCGAGTAGCTGGGACTACAGGCGTCCACTACCATGCCTGGCTATTTTTTTTGTATTTTTAGTAGAGACGGGATTTCATTGTGTTAGCCAGGTTGGTCTTGATCTCCTGACCTCGTGATCCTCCTGCCTCGGCCTCCCAAAGTGTTGGGATTACAGACGTGAGCCACCGCGCCCGGCCGAGCCTTCAACTTGATTCTTCCATGAGAGGCCCTAAACATCATGGCAAAGAGTCTAACCATCTCCATTGTGCTCTGTCTCAGTTCCTGACCCACAGAATCTACTAGCATAGCACCTCTAAGTTATTGAGTAATTTTTAGATAGACAATAACAAGATAATATGTCAATCTGGTTTTCATATCTAAATTTATACTGGCTCCAGATATTCACTTAAGATTTTATCTTGGCCAGGCATGGTGGATCACGCGTGTAATCCCAGCCCTTCGGGAGGCCGAGGTGGGCAGATCACTTGAGGTCAGGAGTTCAAGACCAGCCTGACCAACATAGGGAAACCCCGTTTCTACTAAAAATACAAAAATTAGCCAGGCGTGGTGATGTGCGCCTGTAATCCCAGCTACTTGGGAGGCTGAGGGAGGAGGATCATTTGAACCCTGCAGAGGATGTGGTGAGTTGAGATCACACCACTGCACTCCAGCCTGGGTGACAAGAATGAAACTCTGTCTCAAAACAAAAAAAAATTTCTCTCTAATATACAAATAATATCACTTTCAAAAATGTATCTGCTCTTCTAAAAACTCAGTTTCCAAATAGTGGGCTAGTCATTTTGCCAAATTTTAGAAAACAGTTTTAAAAAATCACACGTAGCTCCAAATGTGGTGCACTTTCCTTGGTTTTGTTCAGTGCTCAATACATTGATGTTGCTAAAGGCCATATCAGTGCCCTCCGACCATGGAAGTTTGGCCATAACTAGTTCAAGCCCTGAAGAACTGACCCTGGGAGTCAATCCATATGCTGCTTTGTCCCACCAAGAAGAATCTCTCTTCTAAGATTTTGAACTAAGAGATTGAGAGTTAGAGAGTAGCTATCGCTGAAGCTGTCAAGATCATCTAGACTTGTACCATCTCATGCCAGTCAGATGACTGTTATTAAAAAGTCAAAAAATAACAGATGCTGGTGAGGCTACAGATAAAAGAGCATACAAATTCACTGCTGCTTGGAATGTAAATTACCTCAGCTACTGTGGAAAGCAGTTAGTCAGTTTCTCAAAGAACATTTGACCTGGCAATCCTATTATTAGGTATATACCCAAAGGAGTATAAATCATTCTACCATAAAGACACACGCATGCATATGTTCATCGCAGCAGTGTTCACAATAGCAAAGACATGGAATCAACCTAAATGCTCACCAACAGTAGACTGGATAAAGGAAATGCGGTACATATACATCATCAAATACTATGCAGTCATTAAAAAGAACAAGATCATGCCCAGTGCAGGAACATGTAAGGAACTGGAGGCCATTATTCTAAGCAAACTAACACTGAAACAGAAAACCAAATGCTGAATGTTCCCACTTATAAGTTGGAGGTAAACACTGAGTACACCTGGATACAAGGGAACAGTAGACACTGAGGCCTACTGGAGGGTGGGAGGAAGGTGAGGATCAAAAAACTACCTATCAAATACTATGCTTATCAACTGGGTGATGAAATAATCTGTACACCAAACCCCCATAACATGGAATTTACCTATATAACAAACCTGCACATGTATCCCTGAACCCAAAATAAAGTTTTTTTAAAAAAAAATAAGATCATCTAGACTTGGGTAGGTGGCCATTGTGGACATCATACAAGCAGAAGAAGCTGATCTATGGAGAAGACCCATAGGACAGTAGTATTGAGAAAGCATAGAGTCCCAGAGAGAGACAATCCAGTTTCCACAGCCTTGACTAATATTATTGCTTTATAATTCTGTAAAATTTCCTCTGAAGCCTTCCAGTAAGCTCCTTTTCCACAAACAAGCCTGTTTGACTAGCTTCTTAATATTAAAACCAAATAATTTCTCAGGTGGCAATAAGGGGGAAGTGGAGTGCATTGGTCACACAAAAGACAACAACATGAAAATCTTAATTGTTTTCAGTGTCAAACACTTGAGTTTCTGGAGACAAAACTCCCTCTTCTAAGAAAATCAAACTATTATACATGATAATTGTCACTTTGTTAGTTAAGACACATTTATACAACATTTTAAGATTTGGAGGGTAGATACTTTATTAATAGGTGGTATGGTTCTGTTCTTAAGTTATGTTTCTGATTTTTAGATAGATCATTCCCTGTTTCTGTTTGTGGGAAAAATGGCTGTCTCAGTAGGCTGCATTATAAACTCAGTTGGAAAAAACTGGTTTATTTGTTGAATGAGAACTTCATTTATTTTGTGTAAATGAGCACCACTTTTTATTATTCACAGGTTATTGACAAGCATAATATTAAGTTAAGATGCTTGACATTAAAGGATTAACATGTACAAATTTGAAAAACAACAGCCGCCTAGTAGACACTCAGAATTTCTGTTCATTGATCAACTAAGCATAATATCTCTGCTCTTTAGCAAGTGGTTTAAAAAATTGATGGTTATTAGTAGTATAAATCTTGGAAAATTTGCAGAGAAAATATAATTTGTCTATTCTAAGTATGTTAAATGGTTTAAATGATATGTTAAATAGTTTAAATGATGAATAGCGTGAACAATATTAGCTATACTGTATTAGCCATTAGCCTTGTAACAAATTACTCCCAAACTTACCAGCTTAAAATAACAAGCATTTATTAACTCAGTTTCTATGGGTCAGGAATCCAACAACAGCTTCATGGAATGACCCCAACTCAAGGTCTCCCATGTGACTGTCATCTAGCTGTTGGCCAAAGCTGCCATTTTAAAGACATGAATGAAACAGGATTATCCACTTCCAAGCTCACTGTGTGGCTGTTGTCAGGAAGCTTTAGCTCCTTACCACGTGGGATTCTCCATGTGGCTATTTACGACATGGCTTCCCTCAGAGCATGTGACACAAATGATCAGAGAAAGATCTAGGTGCATGGCCTCATCTCAGAAATGAAAATCCTTCAGTTTTATTGTATCAACACAGGTACGATGTAGGAGGGACAATACAGTGTGTGGAAGCTGGAGATGGAGATCCTTGGGAGCTGAGTTGGAGGCTGCTACCATAGCTATATCTCTTGCTAGAGTTCCCGATTTTGCAGCCTGCCATCACCTCACCTAAGACTGAACAGAATCACTGCCTAGATTTACAATATCCCAGTATATTCTTTTTCATGTGCACTCTCACTTTACATCTCAATTTTCATTCCGAGCAGTACTTTTAAGAAAGAATTATCTTCCCCTTTAATGTGAGGAAAAACTCCCCTGTGTATAAAAACAAAATAATCATTCACCATCTCTTTCTAGTGTGTGACATGCAGTGAGATTTAACTTCATTGCTTTGTTAGAATATTCTGTTCTCTGTGGAGGGCCGTGTTTTTAAAAAATCACTCTTCAGTTTCTGCTGCAAAAATAAAATAAAATTCTCTGTGAAGTTTGTCAAGTGAAATGGACACAAACATGGCTCAAAGTCTAGAGGAAATAAAATGAAGCCACAATCTCAGTCTATGAAAAAGAGATAAGTTAGGATAAAACTACAGCAAAAAATGTACAGGAAAAGAATGCTGCTCTTTAGGAGAGAAATCAGAAAAGTCAGAAGATAAAATACAGAGCAAAAAGTTTACTGATCCCAACAGAGAAACAAGAAACCTCAGAGCACTTATATGCAAAGTATTTGCGGTGTTTTGGGGCCCACTGACTGTAAGGGAAACCAGGTATACACAGCTTTAGGGCACAATGGAGAGAAAGCTCTTGATATACTCTCCTGAGTCTCATAAACAGCAACATCCTCCAACGTAAATGACAGTGAAAGAATATGATGAACTCCTGATGGGTTGATGCCACAGGAGGATCCAGCCTTATTTTTCCTCAGCTCTTTCCTCAAGGAAAAGACTGGGAATTGATAATACTAAATTGACAAGTCCAAATAAGCCTTCAGGCAAAGCAGATGATCCTTTTTTTTTTTTTTTTTTAAGTATCCAAACCAGTCTCAGATTTCTTCAGCCAGAAAGCATGTTTTTGCAGGCTTTTTACAAATCCTAAGCAAAGTTATGTAGTTCTCGAGAGTTATAGAAAACCAGGTTTGCATCTTGGCTCTGATACCCCTCCCTGTGATACTTTAGAAGGCTTACCTGGCCTCTAAAAACCTCCATCTTCTCATATGTAAAACACAAAAAACCCTGACACATAGTATGTGCTTTGTAAACTGTAGCTCTTGTTAATAGTGAATAGGTTTTGTTTGTTTGTTTTTCCCAAAAGAATTTGATGCTTGTGTTTTGAGGAGTTAAAATTCTCAATGTAATAGAAGACTCTATAATAAACTTACGTCTTCTTAGGGTGATACGAAAATTATTAAACTCAATCCCCCTTTAGTTGCAAACAATCAATACTCAATAATTTTTTTGAATTGATGAACCTCTGATTGTGTGCAACTATCTTAATTATGTCTATATTCTTGGTCTTGTGATGAAAAGTATCCAGAAAATGTCTACTATTCATCACTGTATGCCTTCTTCTTTTTAGCACAGAGCTTTGTACATACGAAGTTCTCAACTAATGTCTGTTAATTTAAATTGAAGAAGCTTTAGGGAGTTACTACAATTTAGGTCTGGAACTCACATCCCATTTTCCTTCTTTTGTCCCACCCCTACCCATTTCAGCCATGCATATGTGTATTTGGAGCCCTGGATCTTCAAAAAGGCAGCAAGGAGCTAATTAAGCCATTAATGAATTAACTTTATTTTTTGAAGTTTATAACTTATTTAGACTTAGTGATCTTTCTTTGCTCATTAACACCTCTCCCTGTAGGCAGAGAGAAAAAAGATTAAAATGTGACTCTGTGAATTCTTAGGCCCATATAAATTCCTAAGTACAGGGGAAAAGCATCGATTTGTAAGTCAACATGACATTAGTCAGAAGTGTTGGTTTTTCTTTATCTGCAGGATCTGTTTCCAAACATATTTGATACCCAGGACTTGAAACTACATCAATTATTTGAGGAATCTTGTTAGGGCTCCATTTGTATGGAGAGGTAACACTCACTGGTGGCAGTGGTTTGTGGGTAGAAGGGGCCTTCGGGTATGTGCGGCAACCTTGTCACCAGAAGCTGACACCAACAATACACACTCACATTTAAAAAATGCCAAAATTGTATCCATCACCTCCAAAATTTTCCTTATGTGAAAGGTTTTGGCAAATCCTTGCCAGATTTTAAATGATTCATTCTACATTTGTATTTCACAGTTATAAAGCAGAACTTTGCACAACAAGTTAACTTGCCAAAATATTATGTAAATATTGCCAAAATATTATATCATCAAAATATTGTATAATATCTGTGTATTACTTTTTGTATTATATATTTGTATTACATAATTTGTGTATTTATTTGCTGCTTATTTAATTTATAAACATAACAGAAATATAAGGGAAAAAAAGCCAGATAAATTTTCCAGAATAGATGAGAAATGGAGAAATCTGAGTCCTTCCTTCAAGTTCATTGATTATGAGTTGAGTAACCATGATATGCTAGTATCTTTTCAAATATATAATTTTTTGATTATATAAAGATAAGGTTGATCTTCATCTCAGACAATTTTCCAGCCTAGTAGAAACAATAAACACAGTTGGATTGTAACCCAAACTTCAACTGTAGGTCATCTCACCTAAGTTAGTGGATATTTGGTATAATGTTTAGTAAAAAGCTACACTTTGTGGCCCTTCATCATAGCAAATATTGGCTTTATTGGCCTTTAATATCCCAAATAAGAATTATCAAGAAAATAGGCTCCATTTTCATTATTAAGTATTTCAGAGAAATAAAACAATAATACTGCCTTACCATTGTAGGTCATTTTATAGTTTCCAAGGGTTTTCAACTATATCTTTTTTTAAAAATTTGAACTTTATAACATCCCTTTACAGAGAAGACATTTTACAGAGGAAGACACTGAGCATCAGGGACATTCAGTGACTGCTGGCTGGTAGGCAGCAGAGGTCTTGACCAGACCCCTGGCTTAATCTTCAGAGTTCTTCCATGCTGATGCATGGAAGACTTGCCCAAGGAAGTTGTCTCCATATGAAACAGCCTTGAAAATAAGATGACTTTCAGTCTAGTTTGATCAACATTTATGTAAACATGTAATTAAAAATTGTTTGCTTCAACTCAACAGTATGTCTCTGAATGGGAACTGGTTCTTTCTCAGGAATATTCTTGGCTGAATGTGTCTGTGCTGTGTCATATGCCTCCTCTTTACATATGACTGTGGGAGGGTGTGGCTGTTTCTATAAACACTGAAAACAGACCTGTGGCTAACAAAGGATTGTGGGTGGCAGTTGCTTTTAGAAACCTTGGTGAAACTTTTCAAAAGAATGTTTCCTATCAAGCGGTGCGTTGTACATGTGGGAGAATCCCTGACAGCACGTTGCTCTTCCTGGAGCTCCGTGAGCATTTATTCCCAGTAATGTCCTTTGGTGCTTCTTTCCTTCATCCCTTAACGAACCTAATCCACTCTAGCCACTCTTCGTGATGTGAGGTCAAGAGGGTGAACATGGCAGATGTGGCATTTATGCGATTACATTCTGGTGGAAGAAAATGGGCCATTAAAATGCAAACCAAAAATCAATGATCTGATTAATTGCAGATTGTGATAACTGTAAGAAAGAAACAGAGTGCCCTGATAAAAATTAAGTACGCTGACTTATTTCCATAGGGTTTCTGAGAAGATCTTCACTCTGGGGAAACAATATTTAAGCTGCGAGCTAAAGGATGACGATGACACATAGGAAAGAATGTTCCAGGCTACAAGACCAATCAGAACAGAAGCCATGAGGCGGGAAGAAGCTACATGTCTCTAACTTCTAGTCAGTATGACCAGAGTGTAGATTGAGACAGACATGCAGCATAGAATGGAATGAGATGAAAATGGAGACAGAGGCGGGATCTAGAATATGCTATATCTTGAGTCTTCTAAAATGTGTCCAGCGTCTGTTCTCAGTGCAACAATAAACTATCAAAGAGTTTTAAGCAGGGCTATGAGTTTATCTGACATCTGTTTTAAGAGGTCATTCTATTTTATATGAGTGGAAGAGACATGAAAAAGACCAGTTAGAAGGCTACCAGAACAGTCCAGCAGAGAGATGATGTTGGGAGCAAATAAAGAATTCCACTGTGGAAATGTCACATTTGAGATGCCCAAGAGACATCTCAGTAGAAGATTTCAAGCATCCATTGTATATAAAAGGCTAGAGCTCAAAGGAGAAGTCTGGGTCAGAGATAGATATTTCAGAGTTTTGAACATATATGTGATACGTAAACAGGAATACAGATTAAGAATAGGGGATAGGATCAAACCTTGAGAAATTCGAATTTTTAAGATAAGATATGGAATAAAAAGATAAAACTGTGAAGGAAAGTCAGCAATGTGAAGGGAAGAGCAAGAGTGTGGAGTTGTCAAAGAGAAGAGGATCTCTTGAGAAGAAAGGAGTGTTTGATTTGAATGCTGCTGAGAAGTCAATACAAAGAAGGCAGGTTTTACAACAGGACCAGCCTCATAATTAGTGCATCTTTCAAGGAGTGTGAAGTACTTTCTTCACTGATTTCTGACATTCCGATTTGTCTTACTTTACTTCATTGCACCAGGAGGAATTTGAAGATCCATCCAAGTTGTCAGCCATGAAAACAAAAGTGCAGCACGTGAGCCCCAGCTGTGCTCCTACCTCCTTGGTTTGGTTTCCATGAGTAGTTAAGCTTAGAAAAATTGTGAAGAAACTTGTTGTGTGGGAGCGATTTTTCAAAGACCTACAAACAGAAGTACCACTTGACCCAGCAATCCTAAACTTGTATATATACCCAAAAGAATATGAATCATTCTATCATAAAGACAAATGCATGTGTATGTTTATTGCAGCACTATTCAGAACAGCAAAGATGTGGAATCAATCTAAATGCTCACCAACCGTAGACTGGATAAAGAAAATGTGGTACATATACACTACTGAATACTGTGCAGCTGTAAAAAAGAACAGGATCATCTCCTTGGCAGGAACATGGATGGAGCTGGAGGCCATTGACCTTACCAAACTATTGCAGGAACAGAAAACTAAATACCTCATGTTCTCACTTATAAGTGGGAGCGAAATGATGAGACCACATGGGCACATAGAGGGGAGCAACAGACTCTGGGTCTTACCAGATGGAGGAGGGAGAGAATCAAGCAAAATAACTAATGGGTACTAGGCTTAATACATTGGGTGACAAAATAATCTGTACAATGAAACCCCATGACATGAGTTTACCTAAACAACAAACCTGCACATGTACCTCTGAACTTAAAAAAGAAACTTTTTCTGTATCTTAGGATCATGAGAAAGAATCACGTTCAAAGAGTAACAAAATTGATATTATATTTAGACAGGGAATGGGATTGCAAGTGAAGAATCTGTGGAATCTCTTGATTTGTGAAGATTTCTTTTAGAGTTCAGTAATGGATCTGTGACATCCAATTTTTCTAGTTAAAGAGAAAGAGCATTGAACTAAGAATCAGAGACTTGGTTTGCAGTCCCGGATTCATTGGTTATTGGTTGCTTAAACTTGGGCATGTCACTTAACCATTCTGACCCCTAATTTCCTTATCTGAAAATGGTAAAAATCATACCTACCTGATAGACTTGTTGTGAGTGTTAAAATGATGTGGCTTAAAACCTAGAGGAGGCATTCAATTAATGATACCTTATTTTTATTAATATTAGCATATTGGGAGTAAGCACAGGGCCAAATGCAATCATGTATAGAAAAGCATTCCGCTAACTATAAAACATTGAATAAAATGCGCTGATGTGTTTATGATTGATAACTGTTTTTTGTCAGCTTTTTAATTTTAGCTGCACCATCTTACTTTTTGGTACAGATCTATTTACTATCTAGGAGTTGTGGGGGACTTGGTGGGTAGCCAGAAAAGATGACAGCTAGCAGAGCTTAGGCACAGGAGCAGATGTAAGTGCAGGTGGCTGGCAGTGTGGGGACCCTGGAAGCAGCTGCTCTCAGGGTAAAATCCACGGGAGGACTAGGCAGGGTGAGAGAGCATCCCCAGGCAAAGTAGAGTGACCTGCCTCTGAGAGTTTGGGTGTAGAATGCAGCAGGATGACTCAGAAAAGTCTGCAGAGCTTTAGAAATGCTTTTTTTTTTTTTTTTTTTTTTGATGTGGTGTAAGGTTAGAAGACTAGAATGACGTTTGTCTATTATTCAGGAGATGTTCTTTGTAGGAGAAAGAAAGGGAAAAAGAAAAAGATTCCAAATATTTTAGTGGGCATTATGTAGTTCCGTCTCTTGCTCCTTCCCTTAATTCCCCCTCCAGAGGGGAAACAGATATCTGTGAAACTGAAAAGCTTGCATCTTTGTGAGATCTGCTGGAGGGAAGCTACCGTTTAAACCCAGTCTCCATTATTTTAAATGGTTTTAAGCCTCACATGTAGTGCTATTTATTTTTCCTTCTAAAAAATATTTCTGGGTTATGCCTCCATATACAAAACTCACCTTTGTGCCATTGTGCTGTTTTGATGATAGGTAATTTAGCTAGATTTAGCTACCATCTATTGAGCACTTAAAATTAATCTCTGTAATAAACTCTATTCAGGCATTTCATCATTTAATTTAATACAAACCCTGTAGAAAGTGGATATCACTCCTCTTTTGCTAATTGGGCACTGAGGTTTAAAGAGGTTAAGTTAATTTCTCAGTTTGCTATAGCTAGAATGGAATAGGTCCATTATTTCAATATAGGTTTGCCAGACTCCAAAGCATGTACTGGAACTACTGTGGTATAAAACAATATCCACTCCTTAGAAAGATCAGCATATTCATCTTCTATGTCCTATTTATAAGTGAACCGGTGTGCTCTTCCCTCTTTATTGAGATTTTTTTCAAAGTAGGAAAAAGGGAAGGAAAAAGCATTTATTGACCACATGCCATATGCCATATTTCTTTACAAATATTTTCCCATCATTCTTAGAAATAAACCCCAAATGAATATTTTTGTCCATGTCTTTCAAATGAGGAGATTGCTTAGAGAAGTTGAGGAGTTCGTCAAAATCCACCATGCTTATTTATTTTCTTTTCATCTTACATTTTTACATATCTAGTGATTGTCAGATACTGAGTTATCCAGGGTTAAACAGAAGTTACAGTCTGTGTTACCAAGGGCCTCGTAGATTACTGGAGAAGACAAAGATGCAAATAGGCAATTATAATAAAAAATGCTACACAGACAGACAGGAATATATTCAAGTCACTCTTAGGCGCTTCTCCTCCCAAAACTTAATCCCCCACTTCCATTACGCCATGGTGCCTTCCAGAATTAGCGCAGTTTGCATACTGAAGGAAACTGAGGGGTGGTCAGAAACCCAGTTTGTGCAGGAAAAAAAATTGTGGAGATCAAAATTAGCTTCAGTTTTTAATATCAGCCATTAATTCTGAGGAACAACTTCATCCACTTAACTTGATTTTCCATCTTCCTTGAGTCCCAAGGCAAAACTGAAATGGAAAAGAATCTACAGGATGCTTTCATTTAGCAAAGAGGCAAACAAACCCAAATCGAGCAGTACATCATAGCAACCCACTAATTGGAAGTCTGGGTAAAACATCTCTCATCCCATTTCTAAGAACTTAGCTATTTATCCAAAGCAAGACCTCTTGCCCCCTGGAGCTCTATTCCCCAAAGAGAAGACTTCTTTAAAGAGATCGTCCTTCTTAGAAAAGGAGATTTTTCTTTCCCATTCAGATATTTCTAGATTGGTTCACGTGGATAGAGAATTCTATGCCTTTTTTAGCCACTGTGACTCAGATATAATTCATTTTGCCTTAAAACGCAAAGCATCAGTAAACATTGTTAGCATTGTTATGTCACCCTTTTTTTTTTTTGGTTGTTCACAAATTTTCTTTGTTAAAATCCTGTGCAGCTTTTTGAATTCACACTAAAGAACTTTAAATTTCCAAATGAAGAAATTTCCTGGCCAGTTTTTGGTTTTTTTTTTTTGAAGATGACTGCTGCCTGAGTGTCAACATTTGAGAAAATATAGAATTTAATTTTTGGAAGTCACTAGATATAGCAACCTGCCTGGTGCCAGAGAAGAGCTGTCTATGCTGTACTGCAATTTGACTTTTAATCCATCGTAGATCTGCTAATGGTATGGCACATGTGAAGTGGTAAATTCTTGAGTGTTTGAGACAAACATTTTAAGGTACCCATACATAATGTTAAGTTCACGTTTAGGAAAGTAGTACCAGTTAATAAGATTACTTATTTGAAAATAAGACCAGTTTATTTCAATCTGGATATTCGAATTATCAAATAATCTTTTTTTTTCAGGATTTTCTTGGTGTATGTTACCTTTTTAGTGAAGGACCAGTGTCTCAGAGCTTTATTTTTTATGGTAGTTTAATTATTTAACTGAAACCTGGAAGAATTAATAGGGTCAGAATTTTAGATCATGAAACATATTTTATTGCTCAGTGGATGATATTCTTCTTGGTATTATTTGCTCTTCCCCAGAGTCACCATATGGTATAAATTATTTTAAATTCCCACAATTATCAGTTATGTATATACTAATAATATCAAAATCATTTGTTTGGGACATTTTTTGTAATTTATTGAATTTTCAAAGTCAATTTTGTTCAGACCATTTTTTTTTTACAAAGTAGCTTAAAGGCACTTAGAAACTGACAGTATTGGATATTTCATACGATTTTTTAGAATTGCAGTATCTGCCATTTATCTGAGGACTGGTGATTCAAAAACTCTGTTTTTGGTTAATTTTAATTAAAAACATGTCCACTCAAAATACTGCTCAATACCCAAATCATTGCCTACCTTGTATATAGTTATTTTTCCTAAGGGCAAAATAGCTAAGACCATAAATTACGATGGCAGGCACATGGTTTGCTGACAGAACTATATAAAATACTGTTTTCATCCTCATGTCAGCTCTGGTACATGCCTCTTTACTTTAATTCCTTGGGGAATCTGTTGTAAGTTATAGTTTTAAAAAACATCCCTACCCCACTAGCTCTGTCAGCTTACCTTTTTCTGACTGACCATTTTATTTCTCTGAAAGAACAGATAGAAACTGAGTTATGTCTTAGCTGAACTTGTAGTGCCCTAAATATTAATAGCTGTGAACCAGTTTAGTTTAATTTGGATATTTCCCAATCTTACACCTGCGATATTGCAAGGTAGTTATAAAAAGTACACAGAATTCATCTCTATAAATATATGCTCATTTTATATCCTTTACAATCTGTTTCCTAGATTCCTAATCCAAAGAGGCCATTAGTACCAATGACATGATGGATAGAGTAGGTTATAATGTTTAGCAGCTCATTGGAGATGACATAGTTTGCCAAGTTAATTTACACATTTTCATACTACATATATTATGTACAATATTTTTTGTATGGTGGGTTTTCATCGAGTACCCTTCTCTCTTGTAAGAAATTATTTTTTAAGAAACATGTTAAAGAGTAAAGATGTTTTAAATAAGCATTTCTCAAATGGTTGGTCCTTACTACCAAGCATATTCTGGAACTGACACTTTAGTTTTACTTACTTCCAGCACATTTCATGGGAAATGGAGATGTCCAAGGAAACAGGAAGACGTTAATTGATGATACATTTTCTTCTAATATTTTGATATCCCCCAAAGAAAAAAATAGTCCAGGAGATAGATTATACTAGAACAGTTTGGCTACATTATCTAAAAGTATGTTCCCATGGAAAATTATATAATAGGCTTAGTACATTTTAGACCATTTTTTTCATTTTCTTTTTTTTTATTATTATACTTTAAGTTTTAGGGTATATGTGCACAATGTGCAGGTTAGTTACGTATGTATACATGTGACATGCTGGTGCGCTGCACCCACTAACTCGTCATCTAGCATTAGGTATATCTCCCAATGCTATCCCTCCCCCTACCCCACAACAGTCCCCAGAGTGTGATGTTCCCCTTCCTGTGTCCCTGTGTTCTCATTGTTCAATTCCCACCTATGAGTGAGAATATGCGGTGTTTGGTTTTTTGTTCTTGCAATAGTTTACTGAGAATGATGATTTCCAATTTCATCCACGTCCCTATAAAGGACATGAACTCATCCTTTTTTATGGCTGCATAGTAATCCATGGTGTATAGGTGCCACATTTTCTTAATCCAGTCTATCATTGTTGGACATTTGGGTTGGTTCCAAGTCTTTGCTATTGTGAATAGTGCTGCAATAAACACATGTGTGCATGTGTCTTTATAGCAGCATGATTTATAATCCTTTGGGTATATACCCAGTAATGGGATGGCTGGGTCAAATGGTATTTCTAGTTCTAGATCCCTGAGGAATCGCCACACTGACTTCCACAATGGTTGAACTAGTTTACAGTCCCACCAACAATGTAAAAGTGTTCCTATTTCTTCACATCCTCTCCAGCACCTGTTCTTTCCTGACTTTTTAATGATTGCCATTGTAACTGGTGTGAGATGGTATCTCATTGTGGTTTTGATTTGCATTTCTCTGATGGCCAGTGATGGCAAGCATTTTTTCATGTGTTTTTTGGCTGCATAAATGTCTTCTTTTGAGAAGTGTCTGTTCATGTCCTTCGCCCACTTTTTGATGTGGTTGTTTGTTTTTTTCTTGTAAATTTATTTGAGTTCATTGTAGATTCTGGATATTAGCCCTTTGTCAGATGAATAGGTTGCGAAAATTTTCTCCCATTTTGTAGGTTGCCTGTTCACTCTGACGGTAGTTTCTTTTGCTGTGCAGAAGCTCTTTAGTTTAATTAGATCCCATTTGTCAATTTTGGCTTTTGTTGACATTGCTTTTGGTGTTTTAGACATGAAGTTCTTGCCCATGCCTATGTCCTGAATGGTAATGCCTAGGTTTTCTTCTACGGTTTTTATGGCTTTAGGTCTAACGTTTAGGTCTTTAATCCATCTTGAATTGATTTTTGTATAAGGTGTAAGGAAGGGATCCAGTTTCAGCTTTCTCCATATGGCTAGCCAGTTTTCCCAGCACCATTTATTAAATAGGGAATCCTTTCCCCATTGCTTGTTTTTCTCAGGTTTGTCAAAGATCAGATAGTTGTAGATATGCGGCGTTATTTCTGAGGGCTCTGTTCTGTTCCATTGGTCTATATCTCTGTTTTGGTACCAGTACCATGCTGTTTTGGTTACTGTAGCCTTGTAGTATAGTTGGAAGTCAGGTAACGTGATGCCTCCAGCTTTGTTCTTTTGGCTTAGGATGGACTTGGCGATGCAGACTCTTTTTTGGTTCCATATGAACTTTAAAGTAGTTTTTTCCAATTCTGTGAAGAAAGTCATTGGTATCTTGATGGGGATGGCATTGAATCTATAAATTACCTTGGGCAGTATGGCCATTTTCATGATATTGACTCTTCCTACCCATGAGCATGGAATGTTCTTCCATTTGTTTGTAACCTCTTTAATTTCATTGAGCAGTGGTTTGTAGTTCTCCTTGAAGAGGTCCTTCACATCCCTTGTAAGTTGGATTCCTAGGTATTTTATTTTCTCTGAAGCAGTTGTGAATGGGAGTTCACTCATGATTTGGCTCTCTGTCTGTTATTGGTGTATAAGAATGCTTGTGATTTTTGTACATTGATTTTGTATCCTGAGACTTTGCTGAAGTTGCTTATCAGCTTAAGGAGATTTTGGGCTGAGACAGTGGGGTTTTCTAGATATACAATCATGTCATCTGCAAACAGGGACAATTTGACTTCCTCTTTTCCTAATTGAATACCCTTTATTTCCTCTCCTGCCTAATTGCCCTAGCCAGAACTTCCAACAGTATGTTGAATAGTAGTGGTGAGAGAGGGCATCCCTGTCTTGTGCAAGTTTTCAAAGGGAATGCTTCCAGTTTTTGCCCATTCAGTATGATATTGGCTGTGGGTTTGTCATAGATAGCTCTTATTATTTTGAAATATGTCCCATCGATACCTAATTTGTTGAGAGTTTTTAGCATGAAGAGTTGTTGAATTTTGTCAAAGGCCTTTTCTGCATCTATTGAGATAATCATGTGGTATTTGTCTTTGGCTCTGTTTATATGCTGGATTACATTTATTGATTTGCGTGTATTGAACCAGCCTTGCATCCCAGGGATGAAGCCCACTTGATCATGGTGGATAAGCTTTTTGATGTGCTGCTGGATTCGTTTTGCCAGTATTTTATTGAGGATTTTTGCATCAATGTTCATCAAGGATATTGGTCTAAAATTCTCTTTTTTGTTTGTGTCTCTGTCCGGCTTTGGTATCAGGATGATGTTGGCCTCATAAAATGAGTTAGGGAGGATTCCCTCTTTTTCTATTAATTGGAATAGTTTCAGAAGGAATGGTACCAGTTCCTCCTTGTACCTCTGGTAGAATTCGGCTGTGAATCCATCTGGTCCTGGACTCTTTTTGGTTGGTAAGCTATTGATTATTGCCACAATTTCAGCTTCTGTTATTGGTGTATTCAGAGATTCAACTTCCTCCTGGTTTAGTCTTGGGAGAGTGTATGTGTCGAGGAATTTATCCATTTCTTCTAGATTTTCTAGTTTATTTGCATAGAGGTGTTTGTAGTATTATCTGATGGTAGTTTGTATTTCTGTGGGATCAGTGGTGATATCCCCTTTATCATTTTTTATTGCGTCTATTTGATTCTTCTCTCTTTTTTTCTTTATTAGTCTTGCTAGCAGTCTATCAATTTTGTTGATCCTTTCAAAAAACCAGGTCCTGGATTCATTGATTTTTTTGAAGGGTTTTTTGTGTCTCTATTTCCTTCCGTTCTGCTCTGATCTTAGTTATTTCTTGCCTTCTGCTAGCTTTTGAATGTGTTTTCATCTAAATATTTGTTATATTTTTTGATGAAGGGCAAAACATTTTGGTTACAGTTTCTTTGAATATTTCATTCCACTTACGCTTTTCAACCAAATACAATAAAAAAAGCAAGAAGGGGTTGTCATTCTTTTTTTTTTTTCATTTGTTCTTCAATTTAGCATTGAAATATTAAATCCAAAAGACAACTACCTTTAGTATGAGATTGTATATTTTGAAAATGTGCAGAGGTTTAGGTATTTTATAATAGTGACAATTTACATATTTATAGGAAATATAGTTTCAAATAGATTTTAAGGAGGCAGCTGTTAAAATTTGACATATTACTGAAACTTAATTAGTAATATCGAAATATTTCAGATAACACAGGGATGACTGAGCTAACCTGATTCAACACATCAGTTCACAATGTTGTGAAGAACACATTGAACATTTTCATGGAACAATGCATTCTGCTGCTTACTTCAAGAATTAGGAAGGTGAATAAGATGATTCTTACTCTCAAAGAGCTTATAATTTAGTAGAAGAAAGACAATAAGTCTGTGTGCCCATACATTTATTAATACAAGGTGGGTCCGGGTCATATCTTATAATTTGTACTAAGTGTCATGGGGTAGAAGAGAAAAAAACATTTAATGTGATTTGAAATTGAGAATGTTTGTGTGGATATGTATTTTATATAAGATACTTATAAAAAACTAAATGCATCAACCCACAGATTTTTTGTCTTATGGCCTCTGTTAGAATGGTAGAATGGGAAGAACTATTTGGGTTGTTATATACACAGGCCTAGTTATTATTCCCTTGAGTAAAATAGGGCTTTGTTACAGCTAACCTAATAAGAATATTTCAGTAATCAAATATTTAAGGAACATTGTTGAGGTGGCATGGAAAGTCAACACAAAAAAGGAATTCCACTTGAGCTGTAATTTTGTTTTATTTGCTTAGCGTAGATTAGAATTGTGATACTTGTACTGTTAGTTGCACTGTACATAAATATTTTGAATTACTGTCGCTGATTGGAACTACCTTCGTGCTTTAAATTAAAAAAAAAAGATGTATCTGTACATTCTAAATAGTAAAAACTCTTTTTGGCTCAAATCTTTTAATTCTGAAGGAATATACTGGCAGATACTTAGTAGACATAAATAATCATTAATGCATGTATGGTGTATTTCATTCAGTAGTACCAAAATCTAAAACACATTGAGTTGTCTGGCATGGTTTCATTGCCAAAAGTTGTGATGTGACTCTGATGTAACCTGGTTTGTTCTGAACAACTCCAAATGGTTCTTCAGACTTGCCCAGGATCCATCTGGCTCCTGGGAAGCCTTATGTTATCATGGCTATAATCCCAGACTCTGGTGACAGTCTGCCTGGGTTCAAATCCAGGCTCTGGTACTCACTATCTGTATGACCTTGAGGATGTTGGTTTGTCTGTTTCCCTTGCAAAATAATGAACATTATATTCCCTATCTCAAAGGGTTGTTGTGAGGATACTCTAAGATAATGCAGGTAAAAGTGGGATGTTAACAGCATTTGGTAAGTTGTAAGGACTCAGGTGCTGGCTATGTAAAAATAAACTTTTTTAAGATGGATAGATACATAGATAGATAGATAGATAGGTAGATAGATAGATAGATAGATAGATAGATAGATAGATAGATATAAAAACCTATACCTGAAAACATTATTTTCATAATATTTCAAAAGCTTCTATTGTACTATCTATGCTTTTATACATAGTAAAAGCAGATGACATGCTGGTCCTACTAAATTTACAGGTTAATTTTTAGATAGTTACTAAGAAATCAAACTGTGTGGAATTTTCTGGTACAAAATTACAATATGCAATACCTTCCTACTGAGGTACCCATTACTGAATATTTCTTTTCTATCATATGTGAAATGCATCAATTTTAAATATTTGGAGACATACCTAATTTAAGTGAAAATCTCGGTATTTCCTGAAAGTCGCCACACTATAACAGATAACCAATCAAATTTGTCTAGCTTATAATGTCTGTCAGCCTGGGTGATGTGGATGGGCCACTGTGTTCTCAACTGCACTGTCTCAGTGATTGGAGCCAGTTCATGAAGCGCTACAGCCTGTAGGATGCCAAGGAGGTTCTTTTTCGTAATCACACACAAGCAATGTGGTAAAACCCTCAAGGGATAGCAGTTGCTTTCACAATCTATTTACACACATACACACACATACACACACACACACACACACACAGAGTTCTTTGTTATTTTACATCTGGCAACAGGAAGAGCATGCTGGACAGACCTCTGGCATCATAAACCATCCTTCCCTCTGACCTCTGTGTGAATCAGCAGACTATGATCTCTGCAGAATTTAGGATTAATTGCAGCAAAGAAAAAGAACCTCTCTGAAATCTAAAATGTAGACTTGGTCATTAGTTCATTTTGCATGCTGTGGAAACTATATTTGGCATCATTAACAGCTGCTTCCATGAGATGTTGAGCACTAAAATATGATTGGTGAACACTCAGGATTTTATTTTGTGGTATTGGTTGCAATTATGGAGATGTTGATAGATCAATTTCCACATCATCTAAACCCTTAACTAAGAAATAAAGTGGTACATAATATGCATGTCCCCTCTATATGAGACTTTGTTAATTTTCTTAATTTAAAAAATTTTTTTAATTCTATGAAGGAAAAGAAATTTCTCTTTCAGCTGATGTTTCCCTGAACACACATTGTGATCATTTACTATTTCCTAAGTGATTCAAGCAGCAATCTTGTTTTAGAATATTTCAACTGAAATGCCAGCCCTGGAATTTCAGTGCTGATTTTAGGAATTATTCTAATGACTTCTTGACAAGCTTTACCTACATCAGGAGCAAGTGAACTTGGCAGAGTTGGGATAGGAGACTTGCCTCCAAAATGTTAACTTATATATAACCACCTTGTTATCGCATTAGTTGTTTTCATGGTGGCTGTGGTGGTCAATAGCAGAGGCAATGGAATGAGCTGTAATAAGAGTCAGCAAATCTGAGTGGACTTGGCTTCTCCCGTTTGCCATGGTGTAAATATCCCCACCATGATTGTTTTCAGGCTACCAACATGATGTCACTAAATGTGGAATTGAGAAGGGATGTCCAAAATATACATCAATAAATCAGCCCTCATTTGATTTTCTTCTCAGTGAACTATGTGGTTAAATGACTTTTATCTACCTTTATCTCGCCATTAGCAGGAGACATTATGGAAAAATATAATGCCATAAAGTCACCTCTATGTCATTGTCCTTGTTAGAATAAAAATTAAGACCTCTAGGTTTACTTTTATGGGTTGAGCCTTTGACCTATCTGTGGAAGTGGTAAGCTGGAACAACAAAGAGGAAAATGAGAGTCTGTGCTTTTAGGCAGGTAGTTAATGAAGGACCAGGTAGGAATGAAGAAGCCAAGTTCTAGTCCAAATTGCCATTGATTATCTAGAAGATTTTGGACAATTCACTTCATGCAGTAGCTCAACATCCATCAAAGAGTTTTTGAAAGTCTATTATGTGCCAGGTGTTGGAAGATGTGAAGGTGAACAAGCAGATGATTTCACCTTAAAAGAGCTTGTAGCTTAGTGGGAAGGAGGAAAAAAAAGGAAGTAATAATAACAAAGTAAGAAAAGAGCTAGCATAGAGCTGGGGAAGCAAAACACACAGAATGAAAGTGGAACCTGATCTTGCAGAGTCCTGGAAGGGTTCTGGGAAGAGATGACTGTGTGCTGAGCAAGGAAGAATGAATAGAAAGTAGGCAAGAAGGAAGGGTGAGATGAGAGGCTTCTTGATTTGATTCCAGATCTCAGGTTTTATTTCACCGTTAAGTATGATGTTTTAGTCTCTCTTTTCTTTTTTAGAAACCTTCACTATGTTAAAAAACAGTTTTTTTCTATTTTTTAATTGGCAAATAGTTTTTTTTAAATCACAAGTAAGTATTGTGTAATTGTGTCAGATTTTTTTCTGCACCTATTAAAATAATTGTATAGGTTTTCCTTTATTCTTTAATGAGGTGATATCATATCAAATATTAGACCAATATTATGTATCTGAAAAAATATGCACACACACATATAAATGAGTGTATTTGTGTGTATATGACTTTTGAGAATACATTAATGAGAGAGATTGTACTGTAAGTTTTTTCTAATAATACCCTTGTGATAGCAAGGTTATAATGGCCACATAAAATGCATTACTAATTGCTTTTTATTTCTCTTTCTTGGAAGAGATTGTGTATGATTGCTGTAATTTCTTCCTTACGTATTTGGGAGAATTCACCAGTGAGGCCATCTTGGCCTGAATTTCTATTCTGGAAACGTTTAAAATTACTGGTTTTATTTATTTAAAAGATTTAGGGTTCTTCAGATTTTACATTCTTCTCATGTTAACTGTAAGTTACAGTTTTTCTTTTTTTTTAATGTGTTGTTATTATTTTTTGTATATGTCCATAGGGTACAAGTGCAGTTTTGCTACACTGATGTATTTTGCATTATGGTGAAGGCAGGGCCTTCAGTGCCTCCATCACTGGAGGAAGGCACATTGTACCCACCAAGCAACCTTCCATCATCCACTATCTCCCACCCCTCACCCCTCTAAGTCTCCATTGTCCACACATTCATGATGGACAGTGTGCACTCTGCTTCCATGTGCACACATTATTTAGCTCCCATTTATAAGTGAGAACATGCAGTATGTGTCTTTCCATGTCTGAATTATTACACTTAAGATAATGGCCTCCAGCTCCATCTTTGTTGCAAGTTGGTGTTTTTCAAAAAATTTCCTTATTTGGGTTGGGCACAGTGGCTCACGCCTGTAGTCCCAACACTTTGGTAGGCCAAGGTGGGCAGATCACAAGATCAGGAGTTCGAGACCAGCCTGACCAATATGGTGAAACCCTGTCTCTACTGAAAAAAAAAAAAATCTAACCGGGCGTAGTGGTGCACGCCTGTAGTCCCAGTTACTCAGGAGGCTGAGGCAGGTCGCTTGAACCCAGGAGGCAGAGGTTGCAGTGAGCTGAGATTGCTCCACTGAACTCCAGCCTGGGCAATACAGGGAGACTCCATCTCAAAAAAAAAAAAAATTGCTTATCCATTTTATTCAAATTGTCAACTTCATTGACATAAAGTTACTGTTCTTATCTTTTTGACATCTGTAGGATCTCTATCAATATCCCTTTTGTTTTTATACCTGATATTGGTCATTCGTGCTGTAGTTTTTTTCCTCAATAAGGCTTGTTAAGAGAGTTTTAATTGTATTAGATTTTCCCAAGGGCAAATTGCTGGCCTTGTTGATGTTCTCTATTGTACACTTTTTTCTGTTTTATAAATTTGTGCCTTTTTTTTTTCACTTTTTCTCATTTCTATTTCCTTTGGGTTTGATTTTTCTTTTTTGACTTTTTGAATTAGAGTATAGATTATTGATATTCAACTTTCTTCCTTTCTAATATATGCATGTTAGGCCGTAAGTTTCTCTTTAATGAGTTTCAGCTACTTTCCCTAGGTTTTGACATGGTATTTTCTATATTATTTAATTCAAAATATATTCTAGCATTCATTGTAATTTTTCTTTAATCCAGGGGTTATTTAAAAAATATGTTGCTTAAATTTAAATGATTTGAAGATTATGTAGTTATTTTTCTGTATTTGAGTTCTAGCTTAATTCTACCGTGGTCAGAGCATATGGATTGTATGATTTTGGTGCTTTAAAATGAACTTGTTTTATTGCTTATCATATGGTCCAATTTTGTTAAACATTCAATTTGCCCTGGGAAGTAACATGCATTTTGCTTATTTTAAAAGCAGTGCATTATAAATGCAAATTAAGGCATTTATATATAATGACATATATATGTGTGTGTGTGTGTATACATATATATGTATACATATATTTGCTTTTGACTTGTTTCCTCAGCTACTGGGAGAGGTATGTCAAAATCTCAAACTTTGGTTGTGAATGTACTATTCTTTATAAAATTTAAAACTGTGTTATTAGGTCTATAAACATTAAGAATGTTTGTATATTTTTGGTGTAATGACCCTTTTATCAGTATTTTTTTCATATTTATCTCTAGAAATGCTTTGAAGCCTAATTTGTTATTAATATATCAATAATTGTATTTCAAACTAGATTATTCAATTCATGTAAACCCGATGTAGTTAATACTTTATGACAAATTTATCGTGCTTGAGTTTGGTCAGGATTCTCAATTCTATATTTGATGTCTTTTATCAAGTTTTGTAAATACTTGGCCTGGATATACTCAAATATTTCTTTTATCTCAATCTTTATCTCTCCATAGCTTTTGGGATTCTAATTACTTGTGTCTTATTCCTTTATGTCATGTCTTTATGTTCTTTTCTACCATTTTTATTTTTTTCTCAATGTTTTCATCCAGAAATTTTTCTGACCTATTTTCTTATTAATTAATCTTCTTCTTCTGTGTCAATTCTGCTATGAAGCCCGTCCACTAGGTTTTAAATTCAATTATAGAACTTTCTGTTCAAAAATTTCCACTTTATTCTTTATCATTGATTTTATTTCACTGGTAAAATTATCTGTCTGGTCATCTTTTTAAAAAGTAATATGAATAACAGTTATTTATTCTAAAATCCTTATGTAACTGTAATATTTAAACCATCCACCAGGTCCATTTGTGCTGAGTTTTCTCCTGGTTTTCAGTCATTTGATTTTGTATGTATGTATGCTTGGTAATTTTGGATTGGGTGTCAGAAATTGTGTATGAATAAAATGTAAAGGTTCTGGATGATGATCTGTTATCTCAGAGAGGAATGTATTTTCTTCAGGAAGGAATTTAAGTACAGATAGACCAGCTTGATGCAGTTAGAAAGTGAGACGATTCAAGGTTTTATTCCTGTCATTCTGACAGCTTGTTATTTTCAGTTTCTCCTTTGTCCTAGGATACAGCCCTTCAGAGGTCTCAAATGAAAGACGGGGCCTTTTTTCTTTATAGGTCCCAAACTCCAGTTTTTGTCTTTCAGTTCCATTAAACTATGGAAAGCTCTGAGCTACTGTTTTCTGTTCAGCCTGTCTGCCCCATCCTGCTTGTGAATAAGCAGTTGCCTCAAGTGAAATAATTTTCCTGCTTTCTGGATCTTGGTCTGTCAAGTTCTAACTGTCTTAATCATTCCTCAGTATCTTCAAACATTTCCCCTGCATTTATAGTTGTTATAAGTACTAGTATGATCTAAGCTATTCTGTTATAGCTGGAAGCAGAAATGCTGCCATCGAAAGAGATTAGGCATTGGAATAATGTGATCTGATTTGCATTTTAAAAAGATTTTTCTGAACAACAATATCCTCATATGTGCAATGAAACATTTTGATAAAAATTGTTCTCTCAGGCCCTTTTCAGCTCCAATATTCTGCAAGTCTTGAGAGTACTAATAGTGTGTCATACCATGATTTCAAGCTGTCAAAACCCCAGGGCTTTTAGTTTTAGTAGGCTAAAGTTAGAAAAGCTTAGACTCTGGGGAAAATGGCCAAGAAGAAGACTCTCATCTTTGGTGTCTTTCTATGTGGCTTCATCACTGTACTTCTTGTTAGCTTTCAGCAACATCCTCTCTTTTCTGGGTCTTGGTATCTGGGCACCTAGACTATTTTTCCAGTAACCTGACCACTCTCTCCTCATGTGGTGGTGCCCCATTCCACACTCTCTTCTAAAATGTTTCATACTTGAGATTTAAAATTCACTGTCCATCCTGCATTTTTCTGATTTTTTTTAGTAATAAATTAACATTTATTGGGTAGTTATGTGCCAGACACTGTGCTAAACACTTAGATGGAATATTTTATTCCATATTAGCTCTATGAGGTAGGGACAATTATTATCCCCATTTACAGATGACAAAATTGAAAGTTAGGGGAGTCATGTAGCTTACCTAATGTTACAGAGGTAAAGTGGCTGAGATGAATTCTGATCCCTGGAATGGGCATCATTTAGAGGGGTGGTTCCCAAAAGCCAGTCCACAGACTGTCTTGTTCTCTAATATATAAAAAATAATTCAGCAACATCTAGGAGCATAAATCCAGAGATTCTGAATCAGTAGTTCTTGGATGGGGCCCAGAAATCTGAATTTTTTTTTCCTTTTCAATGATTACATTTTAGTTTACTGTACAATGAAACAGAGAAAACTACTTTTTTTTTTTTTTTTTTTTTTTTTTTGAGACGGAGTCTCGCTCTGTCGCCCAGGCTGGAGTGCAGTGGCGGGATCTCGGCTCACTGCAAGCTCCGCCTCCGGGGTTCACGCCATTCTCCTGCCTCAGCCTCCCAAGTAGCTGGGACTACAGGCGCCCGCCACTACGCCCGGCTAATTTTTTGTATTTTTAGTAGAGACGGGGTTTCACCGTTTTAGCCGGGATGGTCTCGATCTCCTGACCTCGTGATCCGCCCGCCTCGGCCTCCCAAAGTGCTGGGATTACAGGCGTGAGCCACCGCGCCCGGCCTACTTTTTTTTTTAAAGATCTGAGAGTGTGAATCTTCCACCTCCTTTTCAACCAAAGTTGAGGAATTTGTCCTGCTATAATCTCAACCCTTGAGTATTTCTTTTTTTAAAAAATTTTATTATTATTATTATTATAATACTTTAAGTTTTAGGGTACCTGTGCACAACGTGCAGGTTTGTTACATTTGTATACATGTGCCATGTTGGTGTGTGCACCCATTAACTCGTCATTCAGCATTAGGTATATTTAAAAAAAAAAAAAAAACCTTGTTATCTCAGTATGTTTTTATTATGCAAATTTCCTCTAAATAATGAAAGCTCCTTTTTAATGTTATATTATGATAGCAAAAGGTGTGCTCTTTGTAGAGTTAGCAGGATATGGTTGTGTGACAAAAAGCCAAATAGTATTTTAGGCTCCAATGAAGAGGAATATCTGTGAAGGGGGTCTTTCTTGGTATTTTTGAAGTTCCACTTGAAAGTGCTGTTGGCCATCACTAATCATGAGGGAAATGCAAATTAAAATCACAATGACATACCACCTTACCCCCCAGCCAGAATGGCGATTAGTGAAAAGTCAAAAAACATAGATTTTGGCATGGATGTGGTAAAAAAAAAAAAAAAAAAAAAAAAAGATGTTTATACACTGCTGGTGGGAATGTAAATTAGTACAATCTCTATGGAAAACAATATGGGGATTTCTCAAAGAACTAAAGACAGATCAACCATTCTATCCGACAATCCCACTACTTGGTATCTACCCAAAGGGAAGGAAGTTGCTTTATCAAAAAGACACCTGAATGTGTATAGAATCATCCTAAGTGCCCATCTACTGATGAGTGGATAAAGAAAATGTGGTGCGTGCATGTGTGTGTGTGTATACCATGAAATACTATATATATATATACACACACACACACACACACACCATGAAATACTATTCAGCCATTTAAAAAGAATGAAATAATATCTTTTGCAGCAATTTGGATAGAACTAGAGGCCATTATTCTAAATAAAGTATTTCAGGAATCAAAAATCAGATAACACATGTTCTTACTTATGAATGAGAGCTATAGGTATTTAAAGGCATCCAGGGTGGTATAACGGACATTGGAGACTAAGAAGCGGGGAGGCTGGGAGTGAGGGTGAGAGAGAAATAACTATGCATTGGGTACAATGTACACTACTTGGGTAATAGGTACACTAAAATCCTAAGCTTCACCACCATACAATTCATCTCTGTAACCAGAAGCCACTTGTATCCCTAAAGCTATTGAAATAAAAAAAATCACAAAGTGCTGTTGCCTACTCCACAGCCATGCAAGTTTGATTCTGGATCTGAGACAAGCTATGATCACATTGTTGTAGAGAACTGAGGTCCTTGGAAAATAAAACACAGGTTCCCAACCAGAAGTTAATTTTATTCTGCTGTTAAAATGGAACTATGACTTTTCTTATTTATAAGAACTGTCCTTCCTTTTTAAGGTTAAAACATGTTATTTTATTATAATGCAAATAATATTCATTATTTAAAAATAGAAAAATAAGAGGCAGATGTAGTTCTAGCTCTTAATAAACCTGGCTAAACTTTTACAAATTTCATCTGATCATTTATATACTTTTCTACATGATTGGACTTATTTATAATTTGGATTTTTGAATAGTGCTTTAACATTTTTTACTTAAATTGTATACATTTTATAGATTATCTCTTGATAAGCATTATTTTAATGATATATATGTATAAATAATATATATTCTTACATAATACACACACATGTCTATGTAATGACATATATATAATATTTTGCAATGGTGCATATGTGCTTGTTCCCTTAAGATGGATATTTATTTGACTGTTTTCTTATTGTTGGATTATTTTGTTTCATAAATAACATTCTATGCTGAAAATATTTTTAATTGCTATAAATTGCCCAACTAAGACATATAACTTCCTGTTATCCTTTCACTACCTTTGATAACACACTAAATTTTTCTTTACTATATTTCATTCCCTTCTTAATCTCATTTCTAAAAACTGTATTTCTGTCTTACAATATATATATCATTCCTTCAGTACTCCTACCTGTTGATCTTCTCATTGTTATTTACTGGCTTGTCAGGTCTTGGAAGATAGGCTTCTCATACAACCCAAGCCTGTCTTTTGACCTGACTATAAATATTTTATTGTTTACATCTTCCCCTGCAAAGAATTCCTCTAGGATCTGCCCCTTTCTTGTTCTCCAGGCAGTATGCCTTGGACATTCTGTAGCTGGCTGGGACTGATTCCTTGCCAGGTCAGTAGGACAGATGTGTAGACTAAGAAATTAACTAGTGAGTTCAAGTGGAGGTTCCTGGCCTGTTGGTGCCTGTGAACAGGATTCTTTTGAGTATGATTAGTGACATGAAGGTCCTGAATAATATCGTAGGCAGAAGAAGTGCCATTACTACTCACAGTGTAAGAAGTAGCTTGAGTTAACTGGTGAAAGAGCTAAAAGTCAATGAAAAGTATTGAACTTTTAAAATGTATTATCTATTGAAAAGTTTAAAAGATCATTTATTGATTAAGGAAATTCCTTTGACTTTAATAGCTGTGAGCTCTAATGGGGGCTAGAAACTCCAGCAAGTGGTACAGTTTCTAGAACCTAGCAGATAATTTTTCATTGACTAGAATTCCATGTGTGATACAATGATTTGGCAAAGTAAATCACAATAATTATTATGTTCATTGTTTTCTCCTTTGTTTACCTTGATTAACCATCTTTGGTGATTGTTTCATAATTGTTGCTTTCTAAACAACTTTATTGAAGAGCTACAAATGGCTAGCTCTTCTCAACCCTTTAATTAGTGTCTGGGATCGGTGGATGTTAGTTGAGGGGAAAAGGTTATTTTAATAATTTAAGACAAAACAATTTAGAAATTGTATTTTTTTGAAGACAACTTGCTATGTAACCTTTTATAATTCCCTGAATTTTTCTGAAATTGATGTTTTCTTTAGTGTATAGCAGTGATAGCATGAAACCACCACTGACTTTTTTAGGGCAACTTGCTGGCTAATTTTATAAAATTTGAACTGCACTATATGAATGAAGAATCATCTGTAGCAATTGCTCTTTTCCAAATGTTCTTTTGCTTCAAATGCCGTATCTGAATATTAGATTGTTTCTCCAGATGTTACAGGCTCATGTTTCCTTCTGCTGAATTCAATTGTTGGTTCCTGCTTATGTTTCTCAGGATTTGTATCATTTCTCTGTCTTAAGTAAGGTTTTTATAAATGCTCATCAATGTTGTAGAGTTTGGATTCAATTCAGATAGAGGCTATTTCCACCGGACTTTTGCTCATCTACTTCCTCCCTGGAGAATGGTGAAAAACAGTCCTCTTTTCCCTCCTCTGATAGGGTGATGGGCTACTATTGCTTTCTCTCTCCTAATATATTGAGTACACCGACCTCTCACCGAAACCTTAGGTCAAAGTGAGAAGAGGTGATTGTTTTTAATTGGATGATTGCTACCATATACTTCTCTTTTGGTGGGATCCCAAAATAAATAAATAAATAAATGACACTCCCCCCAAAAAAGAGGAACTAAAAAAAGGCTGAGAAAGCATGCCATGAAGGTCCAGGCTTGGACAACAAGCATACCATGATGTGAATTTTAGCCCCATCACCTACTAACTGTGTGACCTTGGGCAAGCTTTTGAACTCACCAGGGCCTCAATTTCCTAACCTATAAAATTTTTGTGATCATTATTATAATTACAACTAAGAATAAGTACCTTATCGTTTTGCTGCAATACACGCGTGATAATTGTCCTAAAGTGCTTAGCATGGTGTCTAGAACGTATTATGTACTTAATAATTATTGTCTGAAAAAATAAACACATGAAGAAAATACCTTATTGTCAAAGAATATAATACTGTGCCCCAACTTGTGAAAGATTAAACCTCTTGTGTCTCCAGGATTTCTAATAGCTTATCCCAGAAAGGCAGTGCAGAGGACATGTGGGCTCTCTTCCTACTGCAGACTCGGGCTGTTCTGATGGTGGGGTCCAAGGGCAGCCTTGCTTCTGCCATTTGCTCAGTTGATCTTGTGAACAGCTGCGGTTCTTGCTGTAACTACTTGCTCGCTCTCAGTGACTCTGTACTGTAAATGTTTCATGTGAAGGAGCACTGCTCTAAAACAAAGCTGGAAGACAGGGAGGCAATTGCCAGAGCTGTCATTGTGCTGAGTCAGGGAAGGCTTCAGCAATCATCCAAAGAGATGTGGCATTTACACCTGCAGCTGGATGGGTTATGAACCCAAATAGGTCCTTAAAAAGGAAGGCTCATCTCCTTTCCCCCCAACAGCCCCCCACCCACTCAATTTTTGCCTACTTTAAGGGAAGGTTTTTGGTAACTAATTTTTCATCTGCTCATTAGAGCTTACCAATTACAGCATGTGTTACAAATTATAGGTTCCAGGACTTTGGGTGAAATATGCTTCGTAAATAATGGCATATTTTGCTGTGAGCAGTCCTTGATTTTGGACTCTTGCATTACCTTTCATCTCGCAAATTTTCCGTATAGGAATACTTGGATGTACAAATTTCAGGCAAGTATCCGATGTATCTTATAGAATCAGCTACCCGACAATATTGTCAAAAAGAGAAGCAACGCTTTCAGATGATGTAAGCATAGAATCAAGCAAGGAGTTGGTTGAATCCTTCTTGTGCTTTTCCTTTGAGATCACCTTATTTCAGAATCCTAGGAGGATTGAAACATTCCTACTTTGATATTTTCCTCTGGAGATCACTTGTTAAAAGTCGTCAGGAGTGACATTTACTAGTCTTGTATTTTCTCTGGTCTTAACTTGAAAAGTTCTGCTCATCAAAAATGAGTATGTTGAGATGATATTTTCTATAGAAATTTTGTATTTTACCCCCTTAAAATCCTCACTTTTCACATGAAAGTGTATGCTCAGATAAAACAAGACTCATGGAGAGCACATGGGTGAGATCATGCTAGGCTCTCATTGCTAGGCTGAGATTTGCATTTTTCTGAAAATCAGAGTGCTGAATTTTCTTAGCTTTGAAGTAGCTAATGGGACAGTGTGTGTATATGTGTGTGTGCCCACTTGCATATAATTCCGAATCACTTGTTTATGTGTAGTATATGATTCTATGACAAAGAGCTCCCTTTAATGCAAATGTAAGGCATTCATGAGCATCTCATGTATAAGCTCATATTTTGAACTTTGTTTTTCTTTTACTCAAAGAATTTACAAAATCATTTTGTGGTTTGAAAAGTAATTCAGATTTCCTATAAAATGTTATATAAAATTTTAAATTTAGATTTTAGCTAGCAAGTATTGGCTTAACTGTAGAAAGAACTTCATTTTCTAGGACCATTCAATAGTCTAGCTTCTGCTTTATGACAATCTACTCGTGTTTTTTAAAGGATAATAATATTAAAACATTTTTATAAATCTCACAATAATGCTTTATGTATATTAACTCATTTGGTCCCCACAATAACCCTGATGGATGTCATTATTATTATCCTCGTTTTTTTTTTTTGAGACAGAGTTTCACTCTTCTTGCCTAAGTTGGAGTGCAGTGGCACCATCTCGGCTCACTGCAATCTCTGCCTCCTGGGTTCAAGTGACTCTCCTGCCTCAGCCTCCCGAGTAGCTGGGATTACAGGCGTGTGCCACCACACCTGTCTAATTTTTTGTATGTTTAGTAGAAATGGGGTTTCATCATGTTATCCAGGCTGGTCTCGAACCCCTGACCTCAGGTGATCCACTCGCCTCAGCCTTCCAAAGTGCTGGGATTACAGGCGTGAGCCACTGCACCCAGCCTATTATCTTCATTTTAAATATGAGGAAACTGAGACACAGAGAGAGAATATACATTAAGATCAGAAAGCTAGAAAGTCTAGGAACTAAGATTCAGAACAAAATCATCTGATTCCACTCTCTGTGCTCTTAAATACTTCACTAGAATAAGTCTTATTTTTTATAATTGATACAACTGGTCTAAATATTAATGAAGTTTTAAGATTCAATTTACATATAGCTTCTGTCTCTGTAAGTTACCAGTTATTACTACCTAAAATACACTTGTAGTCAATAGTAACATTGAATATTCCTAGATTTTATTTTATAATACCAACCAGAATAGGAGGCCTCAAAACACCTGTGATGGAAAAAATGCAGTGCCTGAGTGCATGCAGCTAAGCCTGATCACTAGAATACATTTCATTTATATTTTATAAGATACCAAAGACTTCAGAACTACAAAGAGAACTATAGTTGCTGCAACCAGAAACCTATTCACATATACGTACTTTTATAAATCATGTGCATATGTGTGTGGGTACCTTCATGTGTGTGCATATATAAATACATCTAAAAGCTGAGAACCACCTTAGTCTGGGGCATTAAAATTTTAGTAAACTTTTTTGATGTATATGTTGAATAAGTTGCAAAGTTGAAGTCTGTTCCCTGCCTCCATGTGGCTTACGTACACTTGCTAATGAGAAAGGAGCTTATTACAAATATTCATAGATGTGATATATATGTGTACATGTGTGTATATATATGTGTGTGTATATATACATATATATGTGTGTGTATATATACATATATATATCTTTCTCCCCCTACACACACATACACACACCCCTTTATTCGCTCTCTTTTTTTTTTTTTTTTTTTTTTTAGTTGGAGTCTCACTCTTGTTACCCAGGCTAGAGTGCAATGGTGCAATCTTGGCTCACTGCAACCTCTACCTCCCGGGTTCAAGCGATTCCCCTGCCTCAGCCTCCCAAGTAGCTGGGATTACTTTCTACTATACAAATTTTACTGTCATAGACATTGGCTTTTGTACCTCCAAAATGTTTGTTATTATCCACGGAAAGGGTACCCACATTTTACTTCTATGGATAAATTACACATATATTGACTGATAGCTACTATTTAATGAAACTTTTTTTGTGTTTCAGGGTCTCAACTCTATCTTTCTATCTATCTACTTATCTACCTACCTATCTATTTTTTTCTCAATTAATTCCAGAATGTTAAATTTCATGATGGCAAAAGTCATTATTAATTTTGTTCACTGACATACTAAGCACTTAAAATGCTGCCTGGCACATGTAGAGACTCAGAATATGCTTTCAGAATTGAATGAAAATATCTTGACAAGGTAGCACAGTTTTTGCTTTTGTTTTTGTTTTAATAGAGTCAGGGTATTGCTCTGTCACCCCACCCAGGCTGGAGTGCAGTGGTATGATACAGCTGACTGCAGCCTCGAACTCCTGGGCTCAAGCAATCCTCCTGCCTCGGCCTCCTGAGTAGCCAGTACCACAGGTGTGTGCCACCACGCCCAGCTAAGTTTTTATTTTTTGTATTTTTTTTGTTTTTTTGAGATAGGGTCTTCCTCAGTCTTCAGGTACAATCTCAGCTCACTGCAACCTCAACCTCCTGGGCTCAAGTAATCCTCCTGCCTCAGCCTCCCAAGTAGCTAGGACCACAGACACACACCACCACACCCAGCTAATTTTTAAAAAATTATTTTTAGTAGAAATGAGGTCTCACTATTTTGCCCAGGCTGGTCTCAAACTCCTGTGTTCAAGTGGTCCTCCCGCCTCAGCCTCCCAAAGTACTAGGATTACAGGTGTGAGCTACCACACCCAGCCTAATATTTTATTTTTTGTAGACACAGGGTCCCCTTATGTTGCCCAGGCTGGTCTCAAACTCCTGTGTTCAAGTGGTCCTCCCGCCTCAGCCTCCCAAAAGGTTGGGATTACAGGTGTGACCCACTGTGTCAGCCTCTCATTGTTTTCCATCTGACAGGTGAGAAACTGAACCTCAGAGAGCATGGATTACTGACCCAGTATCACAGCTAGTGCAGTGCAGAAGCAGGAGTGGAACCTCCATTTGGCTCCACTGGCCAGACTCCCTATCTGTGACTCTGTCTCCAAGAAGCTCTTCGAGGCCAGACAGCAGCATCTTCTGGGGTCTTTTAGGTCACAAGTATCCCTGGTCTTTTCATGACTACACATTTCTGGCTGACTTTAGAGCTCTAGATGTTTTTCTCCTATGTTGATCTACCCCGTAAGGCTCCATGAGAGGCTTGGACTATTGTTTCACAGTAGGCTTCCTAAGACATTTTGCTTAGCTCCTTGAAGGCTTCCACCTGCTCTTGAGCTTAGGAGGAGAATATGGCCTAGTCAAAGAGAGAAGAGCATAATAGCAGATAGGAGTAAGTGAGCAGGAAACACAGAGAAATGGTGAAGAGGAGGAAAGAATGGCCAATAGAAGATGGAAAGGCAGCAGTCACGGTCACAAAAAAAGGGTCCAGAAACAATACAGGAGATGCACAAGAGATTTCATTGCTTTTAAGAAGTGTTATGCTAAAATATCTTCCTCTATAGGGAAAAGACAATGGCAAAGAACTTTTAAAATTTTTATTTGGCTACTTCTATTTAAGTATTAAGTATATCGCGGTGTACAATAAATGTTTACTTAACAAAATACATAAAACTCTTTCCTGGGCTAAACCTTGAAAGACAGTCATACATATTTCATAAGTTTTTTGTTGTAAAATATTTGATGATTTCGCAGTTAGGGGGTTTCTTAGAAAGTGCTATACATAATCAGATATAACCTTTCCATTTTATATTTCCTTGTGTAAGCACCATGACTTCTAGTAATCTTGAGTGTCTCCCCTTTTCAATTCACTTAGGAATTTTGCATTTAAACTATTGCCCTTGTTTAGGGAGAACAAAACAACACATCCAAAAAAATGACCAAATGTGTACAACCTGGTATTACATTTCTGATTTACATAATTTCCACCTCAGAAAAGTTTTCTTAAATACAAAACTCACTCACTTTATTTTAATGCCCGAAAGAATAGCCCAGATAAATGGACTCCAAATTTGAGGCCTGAGTAATAATGCATTTTAGGATTAGACTAGTCATCCTTGCTATTTTCGTGGTGTTCATCACGTACAGAGTACAACAAGATACTCTATTATCCCTTCAGGCTGTTGGATAAATACAAATAAGCACATACAACCAAAACAAATCATTGTATCTGTGAATTGAAATGCATGTCATAAGAACTTTAATCTGGTGCAATTGCTCTTATAGCCAAGTAAATATAGTCAGCAAAGCTTACCTTTTATGTTAAGCATTTTACAGATTACATATGTAAGATAAATTTAAGATTTGTGTTTAAATGACTTTTAAAAGTAAAAAAAGCATTGGGAAGACTTCTTACTCAGAGGTTGTGGTCAGTCATTTTCAAATAATTTTTCATTGCCAACATCTCATACATAAACTTATATAAGCTTCTACAACCCCTCCCAGAGTCAGCCTTCTCTCTTCTTTCAGTAACATCCTGTGTTGCCATCTGACTGAACTGCACCATTTGTCACCAGTTCCAACACATCTTGTCAACATACCTTTTCTATTGGAAGAAAAAAAGAAAATGGGCTTGAATAAAAACATGTAAATAAATGATGAGCACTTTGCTCTTTTGGTTGAATTAAACAGTGTTGAAAGGTGTTAGCTAGAGAAGACTTAATAGAAAGTATAACATTTTAAATAATGTTTAAGGGGAAAAAGAAAAAGATATTTTAGGTTTCAGAATAAATAAAAGATAAAAATAAATAATAAAAGATTTTAAGTATTAGGGATGACTTGCAAAATCTCAGAGGTAAAGGTAAGAAACACTAGACAGAAAATAATTTTATTTGAATTTAAAAAATGGGAGAGAATCCACAGACCCTTTGAGGGAACTGGATCATCTTTGCAGACTCCCTGAGATGTCGAAAAACTGTGAGTCTGCTTGCTTTCTCAATGGGGATGCTCATGGTATGGGGCAATTTCTCAGCCCTGATCATCTGCTGCCTGGAAATAGACTCAGTGCTGTTGGTAGGGGATGGTGGGAGTGAGACCGGCCTTTAGGACTGCAGGCTGCATGGGAGTGGGGTGAGGCCTGTGATTGCTGGCTTTCCCCCACTTCTCTGGTATCCTGTATGACTCAACAGTGGCAGCCATAATCCCCCTGGGAATACAACTTCATTAGACTGGGAACCACATCCCCATCCCCCACAGCAGCCACAGCAAGCCCTGCCAAAAGAGAGGCTGAACTCAGACACACCTATCCCTGCCTCCACCTGGTGGTCTTTCTCTATCAGCCCTGGTAGCTGAAGACAAAGTTCATAATCTCTTGGGAGGTCTATGGCCCTGTCCACTGCCTAAGAAACCTTAATACTCAACCAGATGTCCCTAGGGCAAGTTTGCAACCTGTCTATAGGACCACAGCTGATGCACTCTTGAAAATGACACCTCCTGGCTGGAGGCTAAACCAAAACCAGTGCATTAAACAAAAACACAACCAAGGACCTCACAGAGTCCACTTCACTCCCCTGCTACCTCCACCAGAGTAGGTACTAGTATGCACAGCTGCAAGACCTGAAGAGGGATCGCATCATAGGACTCTGCAGATATTCCCCAGTACAAGCCCAGAGCCCAGTAGCTCCACTGGGTGGCTAGACCCAGAAGAGCAAAAACAATCCCTACAATTCATCTCTCAGAAAGCCCCATTCCTAGGAGAAGGGGGAGAACACCACATCAAGGGGGCACCTCATGGGACAAAAGAATCTGAACAGCAGTTCTTGAATCCCAGATCTTCCCTCTGACATAGTCTACCTGAATGAGATGGGACCAGAAAAACAATTCTGGTAGTATGACAAAATAAGGTTATTTAACACCCCCCAAAAATCATACCAGCTCACCAGCAATGGATCCAAACCAAGATGAAATCTGAATTGCCAGAAAAAAGAAAAATTGGAAGGTTGGTTATTAAGCTCATCAAGGAGGCACCAGAAAAAGGTGAAGTCCAACTTAAAGAAGTTGAAAACGTGATACAGGATATGAAAGGAAAAATCTTCAGTGAAATAAAGAGCATAAATAAAAAACAATTGCAACTTCTGGAAATCAAGGACACACTTAGAGAAATGCAAAATGCACTGGAAAGTCTCAGCCATAGAATCAAACAGGCAGAAGAAAGAACTTCTGAGCTCGAAGACAAGGCATTTGAATTAACTCAGTCCATCAAAGACAAAGAGAAAAGAATTTTAAAAAAATGAACAAAGGCTCCAAGAAGTTTGGGACTATGTTAAATGTCCCAACCTAAGAATAACTAGTGTTCCCGAGGAAGAAGAGAAATCTAAAAGTTTGGAAAGCATATTTGAGGGAATAATTGAGGAAGATATCCCCGGCCTTGCTAAAGATCTAGACATTCAAATACAAGAAGCTCAAAGAACACCTGGGAAACTCATCGCAAAAAGATCATTGGCTTGGCACACAGTCATCAGGTTATCTAAAGTCAAGATGAAGGAAAGAATCTTAAGAGCTCTGAGGCAAAAGCGTCAGGTAACCTATGAAGAAATATCTATCAGGTTAACAGATTTCTAAGCAGAAACCCTACAAGTTAGAAGAGATTGGGGTCCTATTCTTAGCCTCTTTAAACAAAACAATTATTAGCCAAGAATTTTGTATTCAGCAAAACTAAGCTTCGTAAATGAAGGAAAGATACAGTGTCTACCAGGCACACAAATGATGAGAGAATTCACCATTACCAAGCCAGCACTACAAGAACTGCTGAAAGGAGCTCTAAATCCTGAAACCAATACTCAAAATACACCAAAATAGAACCTCCTTAAAGCATAAATCTCACAGTACCTATATAATAATAACACAATGAAAAAAAAAAACCCAACTTATTCAGGCAACAAATAGCATGATGAATAGAGTAGTATCTCACATCTCAATACTAACATTGAATGTAAATAGCCTAAATGCACCTCTTAAAAGATACAGAATGGCAGAATGAATAAGCATTCACCAACCAAGTTTTCTTCTGTTTTTCAGGAGACTCATCTAACACATAAGGACTCACATCAACTTAAGATAAAGGGGTAAAAAAGATATTTTATGCAAATGGGCATCAAAAGCAGGAATAGCTATTCTTATATCAGAATAAACAAAATTTACAGCAACAGCAGTTTAAAAAGACAAATATGTTCATTATATAATGTTAAAGGGATTAGTCTGGCAGGAAAATACCGCAATTCTAAATATATAAGCACCTAACACTGGAGCACCCAAATTTATAAAATAATCACTACTAGACCTAAGAAATGAGATAGACAGCAACACAATAGTAGTGGGGGACTTCAGTACTCCCCTGACAGCACTAAACTGGTCATCAAGACAGAAAGTCAACAAACTCTAGCCTGCAACAAATGAACTTAACAGATATTTATAGAACATTCTACCCAACAACTGCAGAGTATACATTCTACTCATCAGCACATGGAACATTGTCCAAGATAGACCATATGATAGGCCACAAAACAAGTCTGAGCAAATTTAAGAACATTGAAATTACATCAAGTACTCTCTCAGACTACAGTGGAATAAAATTGCAAATCAACTCCTAAAGGCATCCCCAAACCATACAAATACATGCAAATTAAATAACTTGCTCCTGAATGATCATTGAGTCAACAAGGAAATCAAGATGGAAATTAAAAAATTATTTAAACTGAGTGATAATAGTGACACAGCCTATCAAAACCACTGAGATACAGCAAAAAATGGTGCTAAGGGGAAAGTTCATAGCATTAAATGCTTACATCAAAAAGTCTGAAAGAGCACAAATAGACAATCTAAGGTCACACTTCATGGAACTAGAGAAAAAAGAACAAACCAAACTGAAACCCGGCAGAAGAAAAGAAATAACGAGGATCAGAGCAGAACTAAATGAAATTGAAACAAACAAAAACAATACAGAAAATAAATAAAAAGCTGTTTCTTTGAAAATGTGAATGAAATTGATATACCATTAGTGAGATTAACCAAGAAAAGAAGAGAGAACATCCAAATAATCGTAATTAGAAATGAAATGGGAGATACTACAGCCAATACCATAAAAATACAAAAGATTATTCAAGGCTACTATGAACACCTTTACACACATAAACTAGAAAACCTAGGGGAGATGGATAAATTCCTGGAAATATACAACCCTCCTAGGTTAAACCAGGAAGATATAGAACCTCTCAACAGACCAATAACAACCTGCAAGATTGAAATGGTAATAAAAAAATTGCCAACAACAAAAAAAGTCCAGGACCAGATGGATTCACAGCTGAATTCTATCAGACATTCAAAGAAGAATTGGTACCAATCCTACTGAAAATCTTCCAAATGATAGAGAAAGAAGGAATACTCTCTAAATCAATCTACAAAGCCAGTATCACCCTAATGCCAAAGCCAGAGGACATAACAAAAAACGAAAACTACAGTCAGTATCCCTGATGAACATAGATGCAAAAATCCTCAATAAAATCCTAGTGAATTGAATCCAACAGTATATCAAAAAGATAATCCACCATGATCAAGTAGGTTTCACACTAGGGATGCAGGGATGGTTTAACATAGGCAAGTCAATAAATGTGATACACCACTTAAACAGAATTACAACCAGAAATCACATGATTGTCTCAATAGACACAGAAAAACCATTTGACAAAATCCAATCTCCCTTTGTGACTAAAAACCTCAGCAAAATCTGCATAGAAGGGTCATACCTTAAGGTAATAAAAACCATCTATGGCAAGCCCACAGCCAACTTTATACTGAAGAGGGAAAAGTGGAAAGCATTCCCACTAAGAACTGGAACAAGGATGCCCACTTTCACCACTTCTATTCAACATCGTACCAGGAATCTTAGCCAGAGCAATCAGACAAGACAAAGAAATTAAGAGCATCCAAAATGGTAAAGAAGACATCAAATTGTTGCTGTTTGCAGATGATATGATGGTATACCTAGAAACCCTAAAGTTTCCACCAAAAAGCTCCTAGAACTGGTAAATGAATTCAGCAAAGTTTCAGGATACAAAATTAATGTAAAAAATTAGTAGCTCTGCTATACACTAACAGCAACCAAGCTGAGAATCAAATCAAGAACTCAACCCCTTTCACAATATCAGCAAAAAAATAAAATACATAGGAATATACCTAAACAAGGATGTGAAAGACCTCTACAAGGAAAACTACAAAACACTGCTGAAAGAAATCATAGACAACACAAACAAATGGAAACACATCCCATGCTCATGGATGGGTGAATTAATATTGTGAAAATGACCATACTGCCAAAAGCAATCTACATATTCAATGCAATTCCCTTCAAAATACCATCATCACTCTTCACATAACTAGACAAAACAATCCTAAAATTCATATGGAACAAAAAAAGAGCCTGCATAGACAAAGCAAGACTAAGCCAAAGAACAAATCTGAAGGCATCACATTATCTAACATGAAACTATATTATAAGGCAATAGTCACCAAAACAGCATGGTACTGGTATAAAAATAGGTGCATAGACCAATGGAACAGAATAGAGAACCCAGAAATAAACCCAAATACTTACAGCCCACTGATATTCACCAAAGCAAACAAAAACAAAGTGGGGAAAGGACACCCTATTCAACAAATGGTGCTGAGATCATTGGCAAGCCACATGTAGAGGAATGAAACTGGATCTTCATCTCTTATCCTATGCAAAAATCAACTCAAGATGGATCATATACTTAAATCTAAGATGTGAAACCATAAAGATTTTAGAAGATAACATCAGAAAAACCCTTCTAGACATTGACTTAGGCAAAGACTTAAATGACCAAGAACCCAAAAGTAAATGCAACAAAAACAAAGAGAAATAGATGGGAACTAATGAAACTAAAAAGTTTCTGCACAGCAAAAAAAATAATCAGCAGAGTTAACAGACAATCCACAGAGTAGGAGAAAATCTTCACAATCTATACATCTGACAAAGGACTAATATCCAGAATCTACAAAGAATTGAAGCAAATTAGCAAGATAAAGACAAACAATCTCATCAAAAAGTGGGCTAAAGACATGAATAGACAATTCTCAAAAGAAGACATACAAATGGCCAACAAGCATATGGAAAAATGCTCAACATCACTAATTATCAGGGAAATACAAATCAAAACCACTATGTGATACCACCTTACTTCCTCAAGAATGACCATAATAAAAAGAAAAAAAAAAACCAACAAAAAATAGTTGTTGGCGTGGATGCAATGAAAAGGGAACACTTTTACACTGTTGGTGGGAATGGACTAGTACAACCATTATGGAAACTAAAAGTAGATCTACCATTTGATCCAGCAATCCCACTACTAGGTATCTACCCAGAGGAAGTCATTATACAAAAAAGATACTTGCACATATACCTGTATAGCAGCACAATTCACTGTTGCAAAAATATGGAACCAGCCCAAATGCCCATCAATCAACCAGTGGATAAAGAAGATATGACAAAAATATTTATATGTACACACACGCCATGGAATACTACTTAGCCATAAAAGCAACAAAATAATGACATTTGTAGCAACCTGGATGGAATTGGAGATTATTATTCTAATTGAAGTAACTCAGGAATGGAAAACCAAACGTTGTATGTTCTCACTCATATGTGGGAGCTAAGCTATGAAGATCCAAAGGCATAAGAATGATACATTGGACTTCGGGGACTTGCAGGGAAAGTTTGGGGACTGGCGAAGGATAAGAGAATATTCACTGGGTACAGTGTACACTGCTCTGGTGATGGCTGCACCAAAATTTCAGAAATCACTACTAAAAAACTTACTCATGTAACCAATCACCCCCTGTTCCCCAAAAACCTATTGAAATAAATAAATAAATAAATAAATAAATTGAATGAATGAACCAAAGGTATTGCACGAGGAAGCAACATAAATAAACTTAGTGAGTGAAACAGTGAAGAAAGGGGCAATGTGATGGTGGTGATAGGTATACAGGTTACCTTGTTCACCCTTTTAATACTGTGGATAAACAGAATCAAGTAATTTGTTCAGCTAACTAGATTCCATGAAAATATGTAGCCATTTTTCTGGCTAAATGTAAGAAGAGGGAATGAACAATTGGGTTAGAACCTTCATAAAAAGACATCCACAGGGAAGCTACAAAGATTTCTTATGGTCCCCAACAACAAGTTCGCATACTGTGCCTACCTTGTTTTTCTCACAGTTTGATTTCAATCCTCTCACATTTTGTGAGGTGGCTGTTTATACCAATCTGTGGCCTAAGATATTCTTATGACTATTACTTGTTTATCAAAATGGTACACATTCTTCAGTTGCAGCTCCACAGGCTTTCTGGAACTACTGTAATTAACATTGATTTCTTTATCTCTTTCCTTATTTGTCATGTATGATTAGCACTACATAGAATGACATTTACTTTTTCTCCTTTTTCTTTTATATGTGCTAATTCTGTCTCTTTAGCCTAGTCAGAAGCTCTGAGTTCGCAGAATAACCATGAACACAGAATTAAAGGTCTAGATAGATCTTGTCTAACCCTTTCATTTTCAAAGAAGGAAAGTTTGTAAAATGGAAACTACAGTGATATTGAGTGTATACTATGTGTCAGACAGCTTTAACATTTTTGTATGAATCACTCGTGTTGTCATCTCAAAGGTCATATGGAATACATACTATTATTGTCATCATTTTACAAATGAAAAGAACGATATGCAGAGAAGTGGCTTGCTGAGGGCACACAGCTAGTAAGAGACAGTGCTGGGATTCAACTCTAGACCTTCTGGCTCTAGCTCTTAACTTTCCAAGTTAGTGCTGCAGGTAGAACAAAAACTCTGTCTCATAACTTCTTTCTCCATTTCAGGGCTCTTGCTTGTTCTAACTAATTTGTACCACCATAATTCTTATACTAGAGCATAATAAAACAAAAGAGATGCAAGTGTTTATTAACTTCAGCCTTGTATTTCACAGATCCTAAACATGTAAACATACACCTGATACACTCTCATCCTTTCCGAAGAGAGCAAGTAATAATGTTATACTGAGTGATTAATGAACTGATGTAAGGACTCAGTAATCCGCATGCAATTAGTGGATCAACAAAGCAATTTACGCAGTAGGTATGTATTTTGAATAGTATTCTTTCTGTAGGGAACCAGCTGTATGTAGTGTTTAATTGAATGCTTTTGCATCACAGAGTGATTTGGAGTCAAATCATCAACCGCATTTCCCAATGTGTCAAGTAGACAGTTAACTTATCAAAACTTCCGTAGTACTCAGTTCTCTTCCAATGTGCTCCTTATCTTGAATTCTTTTGAAATAGTGTGCCTTATAATTTTCCAGGAATGATTTACATGTATTCCTGTTCAGAGACAGAGGGATGGATTACATAACATTCCCTGAGGCCCTTTTTGCCTTCGAGTAAATGCTCTTTATCATTCTAAGCTTCTTACTCTGAGTAATATTTGAACATGACCCTGTGGATTCCCCATAACAATTTCTGATACTGTTTCCCTAGTTGATATGTTTGGATATTTTCCATACTATGCAGGCTGAATTCTCTTTTTAACTTAGTATGTTCTTTTTCACTCTGATGCTTTGACTTTTGCCATCATAGTTTTCTTTATTTTCAGAGTTTATCGACTGTCACTAGGCTTTCTTCTGAGTCCTTTCGCCAAGTCATCCATACTTTGCTCTTCTAATCTTCTGTTATAACAGGCTTCCTGTTACTTATATTTTTGCTGTTATACTCTGAATTTGTTCCAGATTTTCTGGTAGAGATTTCCCTACACCAAAAACAGTATTCCAGGTGCAGCCACTTGAGAATTGAGTAGAGATAAATATGTGCGCCCCTTTTTACTGTGATGTCTTGCCATCTGCAGTTCGGAGCCTGTAAAAGTTAGATTTGGGATTGAAAATAAGACTTCCACTAGGACTGCCATTTGCAGCACAAACTCACCTGGATGGTAACTGCTGTCTAGCCGCAGCTCCCTTTCGACAGGTCCTTCTCAGAAGACTTCTTTTCCAGGCTTTTTTCTTCCTGTGCATATCTGTGTTTTCATTCATTTTCCCCTGGTGAATAAGCTGGCCCTTTCCCAACCTGACTCTCATCTTGTTATTTGATCCCAAGATCTGTAACTCCTCTCAGACCATCTGCATTATTTCTCTGTCCTTGCTGATGTTTTGCAACATTCTCCAGCTGACTATCATCTGCAGATTTCATTAGCACACCATTTACTATGTTCTGAAGATCATTAATAAAGATGAATAAACAGAAGAGAAGACCTTCTGCAGACATCTGTGGAATTTCTCTGGGCTGCCCCCACAACTCGATCGCCATTGTTTTATTTTACCTTTTTGGTTTTTTGCCTAGTGTTTCATTCACTTCCCTCCATAAGCACCCTGTTGTCATATCTGAGTAACTGCACTCATAATGTGTGATTTTCTTGCACAGCTTTATAATTGCCTAAACAATTCATCATTTGTCTGACAGCATTTTTCCTTTATTAAATCCCAGTTTTATTGACAGTTTTCATTATCTTCTAGATTGCAGAAGCTATATGTAACAATGTGTGTGCCCATTCTGATTTCTCCTCAATTTATTACTGTTTTAAAACCTGTACTATAGATGATAGGAAGAGAGTACGATGAGAAGAGATAGACTCAGAATCTCTATGGCTCTTCTTGGAAAAACACCATAATGTGTATGGAAGATCATGCATGGGGATTTTCCTGCAAGGCGCTAACAGTGAACTTTCTATCCAAAAAGATAGAAAGAAGTTGTCTCTGGTTTTGAACAATGAAGATTTATATCTAACTTATATTGAAAAATCAAAGGATTAGATTTTTTAAACTGAATAAGAACCATAGCTGTACTTAGAGAATATCTGTGATGCACTTGGCACTGTGATAAGATGTGATGTATATCACTCTTTATGATTACACCAACCCTGAATGGCACTTATTTTCAGGTGTGACACTAGCCTATGGCGGCTGTCATGAGGATTAGAAAATGGTGTCCCCTCCAGGAGGATACTGCCTGTGCCTGAGAATAGAGCACAGGCTGCATCTAAGGACCCACTGACCTTCTAGGCCAGATATCTTTGTGTGTGGCAGAGCCTGCCTAAATGTACATGGAAGCCACGATTTCTTTGTCATTTAAATGAAGAGGATAAGATACCTATAAAAGATAGATTTGAGATTGATACTAATGTGGTTCCTCCATGCCATATTGTTTCTCTGCACATAGAACAAATATGGATCTAACTCATACTTCTGTGATTGCCTACTAAATTCAAACAGTACTTTGTGTTTTTACTTAGAAAAGAATGGATATGGCCGGGCGCGGTGGCTCACGCCTGTAATCCCAGCCCTTTGGGAGGCCGAGGCGGGTGGATCATGAGGTCAGGAGATCGAGACCATCCTGGCTAACAAGGTGAAACCCCGTCTCTACTAAAAATACAAAAAATTAGCCGGGCGCGGTGGCGGGCGCCTGTAGTCCCAGCTACTCGGGAGGCTGAGGCAGGAGAATGGCGTGAACCCGGGAAGCGGAGCTTGCAGTGAGCTGAGATTGCGCCACTGCAGTCCGCAGTCCGGCCTGGGCGACAGAGTGAGACTCCGTCTCAAAAAAAAAAAAAAAAAAAAAAAAAAGAATGGATATAATTTAATATGTAACCTTCTCTTCCAATCTTTAGCTATGCTGTTGATTTTCTTCCCAGTCTTCAGCTATGTTGTTTTTGTTATTGTCATTATTATTATTATTATTTATTACTGAATCTAGAAAGAATCATGGAGAAGAAGCAGTATTACTCTGGGCCAGGTATTCTTTGTAATATCTTTAAAATACATTTGAACTCTGTTCACATATCCCTTTGTTTGCCTATTAGATCCGGTCAACATTATGCAAACACACACCTTCATGATATTGAATATTGATCAATTTAGTCACATGCCATGCAAACGTAGAAATACCACTTAATGGCTGGGCATGGTGGCTCATGCCTGTAATCCCAGCATTTTAGGAGGCCAAGGCAGGTGGATCGTCTGAGCTCAAGAGTTCAAGACCACCCAGGGCAACATGGTGAAACCCCGTCTCTAGTAAAAATACAAAAAAATTAACTGGGTGTGGTGGTGCATTCCTGTAGTCCCAGCTACTTGGGATGCTGAGGCAGGAGAATCACTTGAGCCCAAGAGGCAAAGTTGCAGTGAGCCAAGATCATGCCACTGCGCTCCAGCTTGGGCTACAGAGTGAGACTCCATCTCAAAAAAAAAAAAAAAAAAAAAAAAAAAACTACTACTTATCAAGGAATGTTTTGAATGCTTTAATTCTTTGACTTAAATTACTATATATATTTATAAAGGTGTAGAAGATTTAACAACTGGAATGTGTGTGTGCGCATGCACATATACACACATATGCACATATGTATATATGTGTATGTATAACATATATATCTATAAATAAAAGTTATTTACCAAAGCATCATATATTTTCATTTTCTTTTCTTTCCTTTTGTTAGCATTTTCATTTTTCTTGAGTACTGTTTTTATTGAAATGCACCTTGCACTTTAGCTATAGAGCTTTTCCTTGTTGAACAATGTAGTTTTCTTGCTCAACAACTCTGACATCCAGGTAAATGGAAGGAAAATGGATAGGGGAGTTGTGTGTTCATAATGCCACTTTGCCACCCTGAAATCTATGCAGATAATCTACTTGGAAGGCTTTGAGCCCCAGTGGAATACAGAACCATGTAAGTATCCTGCATTGATTTACAGCACCTGCTACAGCTGCTTGGATCTTGGCAGGCATTTTCTCTCCTGCCAAATGCTGTTGAAATTGCTGGGCTGGTTTAGATGGAGGTTATATTTACTGGACATGTTTATAATCTTCAGAGTGATCTAAGCCATAGAGAGCTAATTTCCCAAAGATCAATGACTAAGGGAGGATTTCAGAGGTTATCCTCTTTATCCGATTTCCTGTGTCCTAATGAGATGGCTGAAACCTGTTTGGAATCTTTCTGATTAGGAACTCTTGTGAGAGTCAATAAAGAATATGACATTCATAAATCTAAATAAGAGGCGACTTGGCAGCCTGTAGGTGATTCATGCCACGAGAAGCCTTTCCCCTGCCCCCAACAGGATGTGCCATGGGTGGCCAACCTGAGACAAGGTCAGACTTGAACCAAGAGTCTTGAGAGGACTTGGCCTCTCCTGGTTAATTCAGAGGACTCTTCTGGCTATTAGAATGCGCTGTGTATATTTTTTACCTGTCTTGATTTAATTCAATTCAATTGCCATTCAATTCAAACGAAATGTATTTGTTAAATGATTATTATGTTTTCCAATTAAGAAGGATGACACAAAAAAACTATATTGGTATATGGTAAGGATCATTATATAGATCTAAAAAAGTTTTATCAAAGATGATGATAATCATAATAGCTAATGTATTTTGAGTAGTTACTGTGTCAGGCAGTGTGCTAAGCACTTCACACATGTTATTTAATCCTAACAAATTCATGAATTAGGTCTTATTATACCTATTTTGCAGATGAAGAAACTGTGACTTAGATGCATTAATTAACTTTCCATGTTAACAAAATCCTTCCCAAATCCCATATTCCCCTCTCGCTGTCTTTTGCCCCCTCTCAGCTAATCTTCTAGGAAAAACTTGTCTGCCTTTATCATCTCTACTTCTTTACCTCCCATTTGTTTCTCAACCCATTCAGTTAGGCTTCTGCCACTGCCATCAAAATGAAAATTAAACAGGGTCATCAATTCCTCCACATGTCCAATACAGTATTTTTGTTTCACTGGATTGCTCACCACCTTTTCCCACAATTAACCACTTCCTTCTGGAAACAGTATCTTCTCTTGGTTTCTTGTACCACATATTCCTGTGTTTCCTCTGGAATCATGAGCTGCTTATCTCCATTTGATAGCACCTCTTCCTCTGCCTAATTTCTCATTACTGGAGCATTTTAGTTTCGGTTCTGGGTCATCTTCTCTTGCCCCTGGATTCTGCCCTGTGTAGGGGATTTTAAACATTGTTGGTACCACGTACATTATTGGCAGTCTCATGAAGCCTATAGACTCGAAGTGCATAAAATACCCTGGATATCTCTCAGTATCCCAAACGTAGTTCTTACAAATGGGAACTCTTGTTTTCCATCTGCAAATTTGTTTTTCCTCCAGTCTTGTCCATCATCAATCCAGTTGCTCAAGAAAACTAGAAGTCATCTATGATTCCTCATTTATCCTAAAACACAAAGCTTATACCATCCATTAGCATGTCTTGGCTATTTTATCTTCCCACCGTTCCAGATTTTCCCACTTTTTCCTTCTATCCACTGCCACCCTGCTGTCACCCCTTAGGTGGTGCTTAATACATGTTTAGTGTATGAAGAAAGGTTTGGAATGGGGAAAATAAAGAGACACACTGAATCACTAGGGGACATGTAATACTCTAGGCAAGACCCAAGATAGAACAGGGACAGTCTGAACTGAAGACAAGAAGGATGAATTTAAAAGATAAGTGTGTCCAGTGGAAAATACAGACAAAGAATTAAGAGTTACAAATGCCTGTTAGTGTAATCGGGTTGTTTGAAGCTATCTTTTAAAAATTTCCATTTCTTTTTAAGTAGCCTTTTACCTCATGTTCTGTGAAGTCTTTTGGAGACAGTAAATCATATTGTTTGGGAAATTTAAGGGTGGAGATGGGAATAAAACTGAAAAGAGGAATCTTTCCTAGATTAAGTTGACAAAGAAACAGCTTTCTTCAGCCATTTCTCTCCAGACACTAGTCAAACAAACAGGTGAGCACCAGATAGTTTGAGCAGCAGCTGGAACAGTTCAATAAGAGTCTCCCTCTAGCCTCTCCTTACTTCTGAATAAGCCAAGTTAAGCTACAGTCAACTAGTCGGCTTCTCTAATATTCTGTATTGTTCTGAGGTTTAAGGCTTTGTTTTTTTCTTGGCTGTCTAGGCTCTCTGATTAACTGAGATTAATCTCTATCATCCTGTGTAAGCTAAACCCTAAATTACATAATATGTTTTCTATCTGTATGCCATATGCCTTCCATGTCAGGGATGACTCCAGAGACAACAAAAGCAAGCTGTGTTTTTACTGATTTTGCAAACTTGCATTCATCAGCCTTGGGCATTTTGGCCTCCCCAGTGTCAGTATGGTGTTTTAATAGCTGAGAAAAACAACAGAAATATAAAGAGAGGACACTGTGAAAATCACTTTCCAAACTGACTTGTATTGAAACTGCCTCACATCTAAGTAATGGAAAATAACAGTGATTAGGATAATGCGGTGCATTACATTCGGTGACAGTTAATCCTCTTATTAACTTCATGGTCATATTTCGCTCATTTGTTAGGTTGGAAGGACTGTGTGAGAATATTGTAGTTCCTGTTTTTCTGTTCATTGGGAAAGTTGGGAAAATAGTTCTAAAAATAAAAGAGTTCCAGGTTGAAAAGCCTTTGAGGTTGACTGTTCTCTCTGGAGATGCATGTTTACCTTGTGCCCTTTATCCATGCTTTGAGTTTGGGTACCCACTCTTTGAGGCCTCATTCTCTTCCCTTTAGAGGATTTTCTTTCCACCTGAGCAATCACCAGTGAGGGAAAAGTCAGTGGGGTGGTTCAGCTGCATGATATGTTGCATTGACAAATGGAGGCAGAGCCCTGCTCCAGCCCCGTGAGTTGGAACAACCTACAAAGCATTTCTGGCAGTGAGCCAAAGAGGTGATCCCTCCTCTAGGGAAAAAAAAAGTCAATGGCTGAGATTGCAGTTCTCCATCCCCTTGCTGGGCTGATTCATACAGCAGCATTGACACTGAGGTCTCAGAAGAACTGTTCTCTTCCCAGTCCATCTAAAAATATCTAAATTCAGATTTATAATGTCAGGAGCTGATAAATTTGCTGAGGAAATGCAAGCAGTGTCACTGCCATGCTAGGAAATCTATTCTGATGAATTGATGAGGGAAAGAAATTCCAAACATAGCAGAGTCTCAGAGTGCCACTTCCCCTGGGATGGTGAGCAAAATGAGCATGTTTTCCTTGCCATCGAAGTTCCCTTCTTCAAACATAGTAGAAAGTAGAATATACTAGATTGAAAAGGAATATGGAAAATACCTTTTTGATCAAAAGCATGACATGACATAAAACTAAATCTTATGGCCTGTAAAATATTCTTGGTTTACGTCAAGCAAGGGGTTCCCTTTTAAAATGCTCTTTCACTAAGACAAAAATTCCACTCACATAGCCCTGGTGACTTTTGATTGAATCAGGATCTTTTAAATTTGGAACTCAGCAAGAAACCGACTGTCTTACTTTCCTACAGCTTTTGTTTGAACTTTCAGAATCTAAGTTGATATTGCGGTCTGCTGCTAACCAGCTCTTTCCTCTCTTTAGTTGGTCAGTGGATTCTCAGGAGTATTATAGGATGTTTCCTCCATACCACCTGGCTTGAAATGATTTGGCATAGGCTTCAACTCTAATTTATTCAGCATCCCTTTAGCGCCTACTAGAAACCAAGTATCATGACTGGAACTTTTCTGAAATGATGAAGGTGCCATGGGGACAGATGGGCGTGTAAAGAACTTATTACAAATCAAATCATAACATAATAATTGATACTGAACAATTGCTATGAGAATTGAACAGAGGAAATGCTTCTGCTGGGAAAAGACCAAGAAGGCTTCAGAGAAGAAGCAAAATTTGTGGTTGGGGTGATACAATGAATGAGTACTAGCAATTTCTCAGGGGAGCAGAGTATGTCTAACAGGCAGAACAGCATGGCACTAAGTTAGGAAAAGTACCACCTGCCTTAGGGACTTCAACAAGATATTTGAAGTGTTTAAATAATTTTTTTTTCTCACTTGGATTTTGGCTTTTGCCAAACAACTAACAAACAACTGTTACATTTGATCTAATTATTTTAGATCATTAACTTTGAAAATTGCTGTTTGTGTGATTTCCTACATTGGCCTTGGGCCTATTATGAGCTGACATCTAATGAACAGGTGGCTGGTACATTCCTGGAGTTTTGCCCTTGTCAAACACTTGACCCAGACCGCAAAATGTCATGGTAGCTTTCCCTGCTGAAACCTTGTGGACTTACAGCTCAGTAACGATGTTCTAATGATCTAACATGCTATGCCATCATTTGTTGATTCATAAAGTCATGAGATAAACACTAACATTATTATCACTGTCTCTTTGAATGAAAATTAAAGGCTAGACTTTTAATTTTATGCAGTATTTTCCTGACTCAATTATTTGCATTAAAAAATGTTTAGGCATTTCATTCTCATGGACCTACCTCTTAATATGCTTTCTTCTTAATCAGGCAATAATTTGTAGGTTTGGGCCTCAATTTCAATAGCAAGTGAGCCCCAAACTCAGTAAAAAGCAAAAAGGGTTTTTTTTTTCTGAGATTCAATAGGAAACACAGCATACAAATATTTCATGTAATTTTAAAAGGTAATTTAGCATAGATATGCATACTGAAGTATTTAGGGGAAGTAGAAAGATGTCTGCAATTTATTTTGAAATGCGTCAACAAATATGACGGATGGATAGAGGGATAGATAAATGGGTGGATATGTTTGAAAGCAAATATAATAAAAATGTTACCATCTGAGTATAAAATACAGCTATTGATTATAAAATTATTTTAACTTTGTGGAATGTTTGAAATTTTTACAATATGTTTGGGGAGAATGATAAGGTAGCAAAGAATTAAACTGGTAGAGGTGCTTGGATAAGAATGATAAGATACTTAAAGTGAAGAGAAATTTCTCTGACTTATCAAAATGTAGACACGAATGTAGTTGTGTCTGTGAGTCAAAGTACACAATCTCTCTTCTCCATTAGCTTATGAATCTGTCAGATGAGAAAAAAGATCATCCTAGGAGAAAGAGTAGTTCACTGTAAAGGCCAGAACTTTAGTCTACTTGGCAATATATAAATAGACTTTTGGGGTTTATTTTTAATATAAAACACTGATATTTTTCGCAAATAAGGCCATTTCTGCCTTCTCAGTCATTTCAACATATATTGAGCACTTCCTATATTCCTGGCATGGTGCTAAGCACGGGGGCTTTAACTTCAAAAAGTTGAACATCAAGAATGGAGAAAGAGAACAAGAAGGTGATGTCGCACACGGAAAGAAGGACTTAAAATGTGCTGTGAGAGCTCTGAAGAGGGAGAAGTCCCTGGCTTGTTAGCTCTGATTTGGGGCAGGCTACTAAACCTTTTTGTGCCTTAGTATTTTCCTCTATAAAATCTGGCCAATAATAAATGTTAAACTACTGTCTGTTAAATAGCTGGACCTTCATAAATGGTCACTAATATCTTTAACCCAGAGAGGAAGATCAAATTAGGAAAAAAAAATAACACAGCCATAAAATTTGTTTGACAGACATCCTTCTTTTTCCCATCCCTCCTCTATACCCCATCTTTTGTTGCCCTAGTAGAATGATAAAATCACAGCCCTGGAGCTGGAACAGACCTAGCCCTAGATTTTGGACAGATATTCCATTCCAACCCCCATTTAGAGGTGAAGACACTGAAATAACTTGAGAAAAGTGACTTGTCTCAGGTCCCATAGCTAGTCAATGGCAAAGTGGGTGAACATGTAGGATAATAAAGCTTTTACTGGAGAGAGAGGTTGAAGAAAAGTTCTTTGGAAATATAGTTTATGATTTCTTAGGATGTAAGAGAGAAAATGCTCAGAAACTTTTTTTATTGTTAGAAGAGAATGTGTTTTAGTGTACCTAAACACATTGCATTAGTAGGTTCTCAAGAGGCATTTGTTGACTTGTATTGCATTAAACCTCTCCTGCTAATTGTCTGTATAGCATGGTTAACCCTTGTTATGTGGGTAACTGTTCCTTTAATTAAATTAGTTTTTAAGTCTTTTAATTATATTTTGGTGCCTGTAATTGACAGAATCTATATCTCTTAACCCCACATAGATTTATGCAGTTAGGGGTAGTGAAGATTGCTTCTCTCTTTGTGAAAATGGAATGAGTACTCTTGTAACATCTCTATATTTGTATCTTATTTGATCTGTGGGACATAGAACATTTTCTTGACAAGATAGCGATTTCCCCTAGAGATCTGTCAATTCACAACTTTGAATTAAGGTCTCTAGGCGTTCTAATTATCAGAGCCAATGACCCCCGCTGGCTTTGACCTCCAATACTTTAGCTGGACAGTTCACTCAGAGCAAAGATAGAGGTTCTTTATACTAAAGGAGAATATTTCTTATCACAGAGGAGGGAAAGAAGGAGAATAAGAGAAATAGAGGGAGTGGAGGGGATGAGAGAAGGGAAAGAGAAAGAGAGTAAGTGAGATGTCACTGCAAAATGTTTTTAAATTATTTAGTTGATACTATTAGGTTGGTGTAAAAATAGTTGTGCTTTTTTCCATTAAATAGTAATGGCATTATTAAAATTGGCATTATTAAAAGTAATGGCAAAACGGCAATTACTTTTGCACCAACCTAATATTAAATTTTTAAAAAATAAAAGTCATATAAGAGACTAAGCAAATCCACAATAAAATAAATAAGTTGAAAATTAGTGAATGAAATAGGATCTCCACAAACAATGCTGCAGAATAGTTTAGAAACACTGAAAGATATTTCTAACATGCAATACAGATCCTTTCATGCTTCATTTGAGAAGCTGGTATAAATAGAAAAGTGAATGTACAGTTTCAGAATCTCAGACCAGAAAACATTCTAGAGCACAAGTTCTAAGACAAAAGAAAGAGAGGACTCACACTCTACTTGGGAATGGGCTGATTTTTGCTCCATTGAGCAGATTGCACTGTTGATCAACAAGGTAGATCTGGTAAGAAGTTGAGACAGAGACACCACATGCTGAAGAATCTAGGCTGTCGGTGCTTTTTGGAATCTCAGAAAGAGGTCAGGGAGCCCTTGTGACTCCAGGAGGTAAATGACTTTCCCATTGTTTGCTGTTCCTTCCCAGCCTCAAAAAGTAGGGATGCAGACAGCTGCTTCTGAGGGTGATTTTTTTTAAATTTAAAAGTTCCACCTGGGCATGATGCAGTTGCTCATGGCTGTAATCCCAGCACTTTGGGAGGCTGAAGCACATGGATCCTTGAGCCCAGGAGTTCGAGACCATCCTGGGCAACATAGTGAGACCCTGTCCCTACTTCAAAAAAAAGAAAAAATCAGCCTGGCATGGTAGTGTCTGCCTGTAGTCCCAGCTACCAGGGAGGCTGAGGTGTAAGGACCACTTTAATCTGGGAGATCAAGGCTGCAGTGAGCCATGATCATAGCACTCCACTCCATCCCAGGTTACAGAGTGAGAACCTGTCTCAAAAAAAAAAAAACAAAAAAACAAAAAAACAAAAAACAAACCTTGGAAAAGTCTATAGCTTCATCTTATGCATTATTCCCCCATATACTGATAAAATTCAAGTCCCTTCATAGAACCCAAACAGCTGATAATGTGGCCCATAATTGTGAATTCCCCAAGCCCAGCATTTGAAAAGACAATTTAAAAAATGAGAGAGAAAGAGAGTCAGTGCTGATAAGTATGAGGTAATGTGAATGTGTAGGCACAGGGTGACTTTGTAAGTGGGAAGAAAAGGAGGGAGAAGCTAACTTTCATTAAGAGTCTTCTAGGTTGGGTGCGGTAAATCACAGCACTTTGGGAGGCTGAGGTGGGCAGATCACAAGGTCAGGAGATCGAGACCATCCCGGCTAACATGGTGAAACCCCATCTCTACTAAAAAAATACAAAAAAATTAGCCAGGCATTGTGGCGGGTGCCCCCCTGTAGTCCCAGCTACTCGAGAAGCTGAGGCACGGGAATGGTGTGAACCCAGGAGGCGGAGCTTGCAGTGAGCCGAGATCGTGCCACTGCACTCCAGTCTGGGCGATAAAGCGAGACTCCGTCTCAAAAAAAAAAAGTATTCTGTGAGCCAAGCGCTCTACTTGATTACTTGATTTAATCCTCGCAAATATTTTTCATATAACATGATGAGAAGATGGGGGTTCTTGTAAGCAGCAGAACTGGGATTTGAACCCAAATCTCTATGACATAGGTCCCCATACATTTTCTATGACATTGGTTGTGTGCCATCTGGCTCATGACTTTCCAGCAATTTCATGGATAAAAGATGTATAATAATCTGACATTCAAAACCCATATACTTTTGCCTGTGTTAGCTGCTCTGGGTAAAACTATTGGATAAATGAGGTTTGGAGAATAGATGTGAATTTTCATTATTCATTCCCTTCTGAGAATTGTCCAAATAATATTATTTCTACCAGGGTGAAATAGAGGGGGAAAAAAAACCCCTAGGTTTCTGGAAATATTGACTATGGGATATAAGGCAAATTTAGATGTTAAAAGTGATAGTTGCCAAATTTGTCAAATGCCGTAATGTTCTCATGTACAAAAAAAGTTGGGGAATTTTTGTCAGAAAATTATGAGTTTTGCACTGGCCAATTCAAATCAAAGAGTTTTTTTTTTTTTCTTGTCTTTGGCAGGTTTTACAAGGGGGTGTCCCTGAGGGGAGGTGAAATGAGACCTAGAAGCAATTTTTACTGTAACACACACATACCCATGCACTAACTTGCTTTCATATAGTTACCTGTACATGCCACATTTCATGATTAAAATGCAGTCCAGAAAAATATGGTGCACTGGGCTATGTATGAGTCCCATTCTCTTTCTTTCTATTTTTAAGTGGATTTTATGTTGCCTATTTAGTCTGTAATGACCATAAGCCACTCCAGCCAACTTGTTTTAAAGCTCAGAGAGAAGTAGGTCACTAAACAATAGAATAATAATGTGGCCACATATTTAACTTTCTAGTACCCACATTTCCAAAAAGTAATTTCATCCAAAACTATCATTTCAACATGTCATTAATGTAAAACACTGTTAATGAGATATTTTGAATTTTTTAGTGGTAGGTCTTCAAAATCTGGTGTAAATTTGCACTGACAGCCCATCACAATTCAGTCAAGCCCACATTTCAAGTGCTCAGTAAACACATTTGTCTAGTGGCTCCTGTATTGGATGACACAGGTGTAGACTAGGAAAGCATTCACTCATGGTGTTTATTCAATATTTTCTCTATCTTCTATCATTTCTTATATTAAGTTGTAGAGAGAGAGCGCACTATTTCTACCCCATCAGAGAACATGAAGGGATGCAGAGAAGAATATGTTGAGTTGACTACCTACCTCACAGAGGACCTCTGCATGACATTTAGTTGAAGGGAACTGCCTTCTCTTTTTCCAGGAAGATTAAATCTGTATCCTCTCTGCCATTCAGTTTAATACCTATGTGCAAGGCATCAGTAGAGACCAGATAGATAGATAGATAGATAGATAGATAGATAGATAGACAGACAGATAGATAGGCAGAGATGTTTGTGTGTGTGTTTGTGTGTGTGTTGTGTGTTTGTATCTCTAAGTACATGAAGAATTGGCATACATCCCAGAACACAACAGACTGAAACTCCTGATTAAAGATAACAGGTAAATGGAATGAACATCCAATAAAAACCTGTTTGTGTTTTTAAACAAAATTAAAAGACTAAAATAAGAATAGAATATAGGAATAGGAAGAAAGCCTTACATGACAATAATCAATTTGGGTACCATTTTGTTACCTCCTGGCCTTCTGCAACTTAAAGGGAAAAAAAAATTACCACCATCAGGCAAATGCCTTATCATGATAGGACAAAATTCTTCCCATTGTGTGGCTCTGTTGGCATTTTTAAATGTGTCATATGTGGCTGGGTTGTGGGGTACAAGATGTAGACTTGCTTAGGAGACAAAGACCAGCATAAACTTTTGAGGATCCATCCTACATGGAGAATGTAGTGAATATGCTATTGCTCTAAGTGGAGACAGAGTCTTGCATGGCAGGAAGCTTCCTAAGGTGACCACTTGAGTCATGAGGCTTAGAAGTCTTTGCAGAAGAGGGAAATGAGCCTTCACATTAGGAAAATATGCTTTACTATTACATAAGTTCTGGGATCAACTGATACAAAAGTTGGGAGAAATCAAAATTTTAAGTTTTTCCTATGTGTGTACCTATGATACAATCAAGTTTTTATTCAATTTATAACTCCTGAATTCATTCATCAGGAGTCCTTTAGGAAGCTAAACAGAACTGGCAGGTCTGTCATTTGGATTTGTCATGATTGTGAGTATTTCGTTCCCTGCAATTAAAAACGTCTGTGGGACAACAGGATTTCAAGTCAGGAGATTGTTGGGTCCTTGCTTCTGCTACTTAGCTAATCTGTGACTTTGGAAATCACTCTCTGAATGTCATTTTGTTTACATCTATTAAATGTAAGCTCTCTCTGATAGCATTATGATGAGGAAAAAATGAAAGCATGTGTCTGAAGTATCTGGTACAGAGGCCAGCACATACTGGTTGCTCAATAAATACCAGTTTCTTTCCCTTTTACTACTCTAACAATTTCTCGTTTGTATTTTCTGCTCCTGAGCTCTGTGTCTTGAAAAGTTCTGTTGGCATACACATTGGACTTGATTGCTTACATTAAAATTATCTATTCTTGTCTCTATTTTGTATTAATGAATACAATTAATCTGATTACAAGTATAAAACTATCAGTCAGGTTTCTAAAAAGTTATTAAAACATATATGTATTACCTGCTTCCCACATTCCAGTGCCAGGCTCTGTAGAAACAATAATGAATAATACAGCTATTGCCCTAAAGAGGCTTCACCAATCCTGTCTGTGGTTCAGCATCACCAGGCAATACCAATTTGTCATCATCATGCTGAATGGGGAGAGGTTTAGAATAATCACAGGAGAACGTAAGACCAGCTCCTGGCCCCGTCTTGATGGGTCATGAAAGAACACCGGGTACTATCCTGAGTTGAAATAATTCTAGCTCATAGTTAATCTATAAAGCCTTATCCAGAGAAATTGGAGATTATCTTTAAGCATTTTGAAATATTAAGCATAGCCTGCTGGCCCCAAATGACATTTTTTTTAATATTTACAAATTATTAATAAAACTAAAAATTTCCATCCCTTCCCTGGAACCCCAAGCAACCACCGATTATTTATTTATTTATTATTTATTTATTTATTTATTTATTTATTTATTTATTTATTTATTATAGAGATGGAGTCTCACTATGCTGCCCAGGCCGGTCTTGAAGTCCTGGCCCCAAGTGATCCCTCCGCCTCAGCCTCCCAAAATGCTGAGGCCACAGGCACGGATGCAGAGTTTGCAGATGGGCAGCTACCATTTTCGAGTATGCAGTAACTGAGTTTTGTGAGAAGAGCAAAGTGGAAAGGGAGAATGACTTAATTAGGTCTGTCCTTTAGAAACAGGTCTGCAAAGGCAGTGTTGCAAACTAATCCAAGTGAAAAATCATGGGAGACTTAAATGAAAGCATTCCTGGGAATGAAGAAGGCAGATTTAGTAGGATTACTAATGACAGGTTGGATGGAAGATACAAAAGAGAAGAAATCTATATTGCTGTGATCCATTAAGTCTCATTGTCTACTTTTAACACTTAATGGGGTGGCAGTGTTGTTATTCTAGGCTATCCTTTATGAGGTTGGGGTTCTTCCCTGACAGTTGCTGAGGCTGTGGGAACAAACGAGTTCATATAGGGAGTGAGTGAGGAGGGAGACTTCAGACGCTCAGGGATTCTACACCATGGAGGAGGCTATGAAGGAGATCCATTTTCTTCTAAATCATTCTGATAGGCTTCTGGATGGCTTTCGGTCTCTGGCCAGGTGCTGATGGAAAGCTCTCCTCTCTGATGAAGATTAATCATCAAACCCAGGAGATAATTTTATTCTGCTCTTCTGAGTCATGTTAGATTCCAGAACAATTAACTTTATTTTCCCCAAATCTTGTATCTCTTGGGAATCTTCCAGTAACTTTGGTTTCCAGTCTACGGAGCTACTTTTGGCAGCTTGTTGTCAAAGAAGTGATAATTCTTAAAGCTTAGAGTGCTAAACTGCAACTCAGTTGAGAATTGAAACCTTTCCAGTAAGGGGCTCAGCCCCAGACACCTGGGACTCCTCTTTCTCCTTTCACCCTCAGGTACAGGAGTGTTACATAAAATGGCACTAATCCACTTTTACAGTTTTTGTGTTATTAAGCAATACATTAAGATTTAATAACCATAACAAAAGGGTTGTTTTCTCACCAAGCAGTTATTATTTGTTGTACTTCTATTTCTACTCATTTACCTTAGGTTTGCTTTAGCGATTTCAATTTAGTAGGTGTCTAATGATATGCCTGTCAATGAAACTTTAGAGATGACTTTCAGTCCTTGGAATTTTTTTTTCATAGTTTCAAGAAGCAAGACTTGCGAAGATGATTTGCGTTAAGAGGTTTGTGTGAGTTGAGTGTGGACTTAAATTAAAAGTAACTTAATTTACTCAGAGTAGTAGAATCTAGTGCATTTAAATTGGTTGAGAGGTGCAGACTTCGCTTTGGAAGTCACTGTAAATCGATGCCGATAGAGTAAAAAGCATTCTCTGTTCTCTTGCTGTTCCTTTTTGAAGGGTTCAGAAGGTTGGAAGAGCATCCAAATCAGTATAATCAGACCTATTAGATCCTAGCAAAGAATTTTAAATACATACATCTTTTTGCATATTGATTCTGGCAATTTAACCCTCAGCTTAAAAGCAGAAAGTTGGTTCAAGTGAATACAACATCTCACTCTGCACAATATTAAGAAATAGATCTACTGAAACTAATAAAAGAATTCCATTGTTGTCTCCTCCATTTAAAAAAATTCTACCTGAAATACTTGTTAGAATTTTTATAAAAGTAGTATCTCATTTATGTACAAAATAGTTTGTGTAAACTATAAGTAGACAAAGATGTAGGGTTGTATCACTTCTTTGATAAGATACTGATCTTGTATTTTTAACCAATGCTAGGCTTAATAAAAGGGTCCTGTAAAATTTACTATGAAATCTGTATGCCTCCCTCCAACTTCTTTTCCAACTGAGATTGGAGTATGGCAAAGGAAATGAAGCATGAAGGGAAAACTAGGAGCTATGATAATCTAAGATTCATAAACAATTATAACATTATTTGCTCACTTTTGATTGTGCAAATGACTAAATCTTTTAATGAAGCATAATGACCCATCTGACACATATATAACAACACATAATAAAAGATAAAATTAAATTTGTCAAAGCAATATAGACCACCCACTACTAGTAGATTATGTTTGGGTTTGGATTTTCATATATTTTATCCATATCTGTTTCCTTCTATTGGGACTTTATGGAGGCATTACTCATGAACTTTGGCAGATCTTTTTTGGTGTGTCTGAAAGAAAATCCCAAAGCTGGTTACTAAGATGTTTGAAAGTCATATTCTTCTTCAAACCGTGTAGAAATAACTATCAGGAAATAAGTGGTTATAATTTTAAAATGGCATGTTTAGGGAAGAGAATATATAAGTTTGAAAAACCGCAGTCTCCTCCAATACATTTCTACCTATTACTAACAGGGTCAAAATTGTCTACAGAAAACAACCTGATCTCAATTTCCTCAGACAATTCAGCTAGTAAAATGGTGTGACTGACCTAGAGTTACGGAGATAACTCCTACTGCTGAGCTCTCTCAACAAGTGACACCCTGGTTGACAAACAATCACACATTATTTATTAAACTTCTATTTAATAACAGGAGTTATGGAGTTAGCAATGTTAAGTGAAGAGTCCTTGTTTTCAAACTTTGCAAATTACAGTTAGTAACTAATAAACTAATTAATGTCCTTTATGAAGAGATGCTCAGTGATGGCCTGAAAAATCCCTAAAGGAGATAGGGAGAGAATTGAAGTATGGAATAAAATGACCTATATGGGACCTTCAAACTTGGAGTTTTCTATATTTTCAAAAATTACTTTTGCTGTCATTTAATGTCCAAATCCAATCCCTTGTCTAGGGAACCAGTTCGGATTAAACAAAATTTCAAAAATACACAAGCAATCAATATCTAATTCATTTAAGTCCTGTTTCTTCCCAGGACTGCTGGGTATAAGCCTAGAGTTGCCTGCCATTTCTCTTATATTCAAACACTTTGGGAAAGGAGCCATTTTTTTAGATCTATTTTCTCCCTGAAGCTTGGGAGCTATATCTATATAAAATGAGATGACATACTAGGGCTAGCGTACTAAAACCTTTTCTAAGAGAATCAATATAGCTTTGAGAAGCCTCATTTATATTTAAAGGAGAAAAGAGACATAAGTAGAAGTGGACATAACGTATCATGTAGACATTGAAAAATACCAGAAATGATTTAAAAGTGACTGCGTGTTCTCATATTCCCAGTGCCTTGTAATTTGACTTGGAGGGATGTTCTAGATCTCCATTGAATGTGCTCACTGAGATTTGTCTTTGTCGTATTGATTACAATCATCTGTCAATGCCCTCAATATTTTCTGTACTGACCAACAGCGACACAGATCATAGGCTGTAACTAGTACAGGCTGTGCCAATGAAACAATAGGGCTAATTAGCAGACATGAAAATGAATCACTGATTTAATTTTCCTCCTGGTCTAATCAACACAATGTGTCAGCTAAATATTTTGATCCATTATTTCAAGTGAATAGAATGTGCTTTTATATTATCATTTCAATTTCATTACCTTGAATATTGGAATTTTTGATTTTTGGATACATCAGTGTCCAGTCAGTATCCAGTGATTTTTAGATACATTTTGGATACATCAGCCTTAGCATACATCAGTGCCTACGGGTATAAGGCACTGATATGTTAATAAACATATTAACAGTTTGTAAGCCAATGAAACCTATAATTATTGCATAATTTAAATTAACTTGTGTACAAAATGCCATAATATTTCCACATACGTGGTGGCTTTCAAAATCAAAATAAGGTGAGCCTATTTCAATTTATGACAGACAATTGTATATCTCCTCTCTTTTCTTTGCCAAAGAAGCCCTTTATTTCATCCTCACAGGTGTTATACTTGTCTCCTTTCTGCTTGGTGAAACAATCACGGTTTGTAATTTCACTTTCTGACCATCAAATACGATAAAATGAAACAGTTTGTGCTTTTCTTGTACTTTCCGCTCTCAGGGGTTACTGGTTGAGAGAGCTCAGCAGTAGGAGTTATCTCCGTAACTCTAGGTCAGTCATGCCATTTTAATAGGTGAATTGTCTGAGGAAATTGAGATCAGGCTGTTTTCTGTAGGCAAGTTTGATCCTGTTGGTAACAGGTAGAAAATGTATTGGAGGAGACTGAGGTTTTTCAAACCTACATATTCTCTTCCCTAAACATGCCACTGGCTGGCTGGGATGCTACCTTATAAATGTGAGGTAGATGACACCAGTCTGTAACTCTAGACTTCTGTCATGGATAGCAGGATAACTTAGACTGAGAGCTGTCTGTCTTCCCAGCCCACATGGCCACAGGATCAGAGCAGGTCATGGTGAAGCAGAGGAGAAACAGCTGCAAAGCAGAGAAGAAAGTCCAATAGGGTAGGATGTGATGAATAATGTTGTGAAACAGACAGCTAGTGCCAGTAAGGCTCCTATATCATAGAAGTCTAGGAAGATACAAGCAAGTGCTGTCATAGACAGATAAATGAAGTGGACATTGTTTTGAGACAAAAGCAAGCTGGCAATATCAGAGAAGCTTACTATAAAGAGCAAAATGCTGGGTGCACTGGCTCATGCCTGTAATTCCAGCAGTTTGGGAGGCCAAGGCAGGAAGATTACTTGAGCTCAGGAGTTCTAGACCAGCCTGGTGAGACCTTTATCTCTACAAAAATAAAATTAAAAACTACCTGGGCATGATGGTGCAGGCCTGTAGTCCCAGCTACTTGGGAGGCTGAGGCAGGAGGATCGATTGAGCCTGGGAGGTCTAGGCTGCAGTGAGCCATGACAGCACCACTGAGCCTTGGTGACAGAGCAAGACCCTGTATCAAAAACAATAACAAAACACAGCAAGGACCCTATTACTCTCAATGGGAAAAATCGCAGTTGCTTTTGGGCCAGCCTAATAATAACTTGACAGAGAGAATTTTATTCCCTGCAAGCTACGAGTTCGTTTTCTTTAACAGATGAGGTAACTGAGCCACATAAAAATTAAGTTACTTGTCTAGAGACACCCAGCTGATAAGTAAGAGAGCAGACATTTCTACTCAAGCAATCTGACTCCAAAGCTCATGGTGATGAAGCAGGTCATGAAAGCTCTCTTTATGACACATTTGAATAAAGCAGCATGACAGTGGGACAAAAAGTACACAAGACAAAAGCTCCATCGTTAGGGCCAAAGCATAGGAACAAACTCAGGCCAGTGATGGAGCAACTTCAGCTGAGATTTTAGCCAAGAGCTTGTTAACATCTTTCCAGTTCCCAGATAGAATTAGTCCTAAGGAATTACGAACATTGTATTCCATGGCATATATATATATACTACATTTTCTTTATCCTCTAATCAACTGGTGATGGACACTGAGGTTGGTTTCATATACAAGAGCAGATGTCTTTTATTTTTTTTTTTTTGAGACAGAGTCTCACTCTGTCACCCAGGCTGAAGTGCAGTGGTGTGATCTCAGCTCACGGCAATGTCTGCCTCCTAGGTTCAAGCGATTCTCCTGCCTCAGCTTCCTGAATAGCTGGGATTACAGGTGCACACCACCATACCCAGGTAATTTTTGTATTTTCAGTAGAGATGGAGTTTCACCATGTTGGCCAGGCTGGTCTTGAATTCCCAACCTCATGTGATCCACCCGCCTTGGCCTCTCAAAGTGCTGGGATTACAGGTGTGAGCCACTGCACCCAGCCAGATGTCTTTTTTAATATGATGATTTATTTTCTTTTGGATAAATACCCAGTAGTGGTATTGCTAGGTCAATGGTAGCTCTATTTTTAGTTCCTTGAGATATCTTCATACTGTTTTCTATACGGGTTGAACCAATCCATATTCCCAACAGTGTATAAATGTTCTCTTTTCTCCACATCAACATCTGTTGTTTTTTGACTTTTTAATAATAGCTATTCTGACTGGTATAAGAGGTATCTCATGTGGCTTTAAATTGCATTTCCATGAAAAAGAATGAAATCACGTCCTTTGCAGCAACATGGATGGAGCTGGGAACCATTATCCTATGTGAAATAATTAAGAAGCAGAAAATCAAATATCTCATGTATTCATTTATAAGTGGGAGCTAAACAATGAGCACATATGCACATAAAGATGGAAATAATAGATACTGGAGACAACAAAAATGGGGAGAGAGAGAAAGCTGAGGATTGAAAGATGATCTATTGGATAAAATCTTAATTATTTGAGTGTATACGGAGAGCCCAATCTTCACCATTACACAATACACCCATGTAACAAACATGCACATGTACTCCCTGAAACTAAAAAAAAAAGAAACAAGCATTGTGAACTGCTGGATCCCCAAGAAAGGCAGATGACCATAACTAGGAAGAAAAGGAGAAAAAATGTGCAATGTCAAGAAACATTTTTGTAACTTATGGTCAATCTTGTGTTTCTGCAACACCTATATCTTACCATGTAGAAATTTAGGGATACAAACCACAAAGATTCTGAGGGCCTAATCATCTCTCCTAGACTTGCTTTTGCATTCTGGAGTAATAATCTGGAAAAGCAATAAGAGTAGGGACATATTTATGATTATTCTTAAAACTGTGTGTAGAAAAATACAAGAATATCTACTCCAAAAACCTGCATGAAGACATTTGATAGTTAGCCAAAATTCAAGAGACTCCTAATCTTTGAAAGCTACACATTAGGCTGGTGTATATGTCCCATTATTTGAAATTGCACCTTTAAATATTTGAGACATTTATCCTATTATCCCTGATTACAATTTCCCCACTACAATTCACTGCACAGTGCTTCCTTAGGGAGCTGCTTAATACATTTCAATCTTAGAAGGTCAAGATTCCCTCAGCCAATTCCAAACTGCATTGTCCCATTGAATAGATGTGGCACATTCTGGATCTAGTGAGAATAACCTATGTATATTACTTTGAAGTAATACAGGTAGGCCATTATAGCAGAAAGAAGTTGAGTAAATGTTGATATTTAAGAAGGTTGATAAAATATTTGAACACAACTGCAATCCATACCCAATTCTCAGTGGTTTTTTTTATAGACCATGAAATCATAGCTAAAGTCAACTTCGGTTCTGCCCTAACGGAGAGCCACAAATAACCCTAAACCATAGATAACTCAAATGCATTTTTACTTGGCTTTTGACTGCTTTTTATGATAATTTTCACAGCACATTGCTCTTCTAATTATGTTTTGTTTGGGATCATATTAAAATTAACTTGTATTTAGTGATTATGTGCTACCTGATGAGTTAAAGAGGAGCCCTGGGAGTGTATTGAAAAACCAGGCTGTGGATGGCCTTCAGTACTTTACACAAAGAAAAGCCAAATAGTTAAAAAGGCATTAAAAATGGAAAGGATGTAACTAGTGGGCAAATAGCTCCAGGACCTCAGTTGCATGAACTTAGTATATCTCTTTCCTCCTCCTTCTCCCCTCCCTCCTCCACGCCCTCTTTCTCCTAGTCTCTATTTCCCCTTTTCCTTATCCTCTTCCTCCATCTTTTTTATTCTTTCTTGGAGGCATGGAAAGCAACTCAAAAGAAAAGGAGACCTCTATAGTACATCCGCACTCAGCCTTGGATAGTGAGAAGTACTCAGGTCTGAGTAGCCTCAGACAGTGGAGTCAGAAGCAAGATGAACTGTCAGGGATTATAATAGGAATGGTCAGGGCTGAAAGCAAGGCAATAGGTCAAAACCTGGCAACAAGGAAAGAGCCCTGGATAAGTAGTTTCCATAAATCCAAGCAAGACAATTTGTTAAGGCTTAGCATGCAATCAGGCATCCAAAATTCCATGAAAACCAGAAGGCAGGGTGAGGAAGGAACAGGAACCAGGCAGCAGTTCTGTGCAGTGGCACCAAGTGACAGCAAGAAGGCAGCAGTACTACCAAGGCAAGATTACACCCAGCCAAAAAACCACCAGTCTGCAGGGCAGCCAATTGATACTCCAGGCAGAGCCATTCAGAGCTGAAGAGAAAGCACTAAAAAAAAGTGCAGCCACTTCTGTGATTAAAGACAATGCCCATGGTACTAAAGTACCGTCTTGGAGACACTGGTCATAGTTGTTAAAGCTTCCAGCCCTCCCAGAGAACATCTCTATGAAAAAAATACTGGTACAGCAGCCCCAGGCCCACCTTCTGGAGGTTCAGCTTTTAATTTTAGTTGTTTCAAGTGCTGTGGAAAAGACTAGACCTGATCCCTCAGTTCTTCATATTGCCTTATGAACACTGGCCAGAAGGGAAGCACATCCCTCCCTTTTGTTAATTTCCTCCAATATTGCTAAGACAAGGAATTTCAAAATGTTCAACAAATATTAAGAAACAAAAAAGAAATGAATAAAGAAAATAAGATGGGCAAAAATAAGTATGCATGCAAAAATAAGTATGCATGAAACATAAGTTTTCAAATATCATACACTGACATTGATTAATCATCACTAGCTGTCAGGAGAGAGTGCTGTATTGAGAAGGATTTAGCAACCCAGAATGTCCTAACTGGCTTGGCTCATGTCTGCTGTGGGTAAAGGAAAAGCAGGGAGTGCTGACAAGTCTGCTTTGTATTTGCCACCCTTTGCAAATAGGTACTCACCCTATTCCCAAAGAGCTAATATAAATTACATATCACTTTATTTGTGTTTGATTTATTACATAATTATTATTAGAATAATTCACATAATTATAACCAGAAGCCCCAAAAGAGCAGAGACCCTGACTGATTTGTTCCATGGATACCTCCAGCATCTAGAACAGGACATGACATATAGTACCCCTTCAACCAGTAGTTGCCTGACTTTTCTGCCCTCATTTAATGGATCCTGTCTCTGAACCTGCAGGCATCATCATATACTATCGTAAGTGATTTCCTTAGCTTCCTAAACCCAGAAAGAATCCACATTCTATTTCTCATGGTTTTTTTCTATCTGTATAGCAGCATCAAAGTGGGCCCTGGTTTTTAGTTTGAGGGATATGCCACTTCTGCAACCAGCTGGCATAAATGTGGCAATTGACACGATAAGAGAAGCTGTTCTCCCAGCCAGGGAAGAGGCATTACCAATTACAGGCCTATACTATAACTGTGCCTTTAACATCACTTGCATGTAAGAATGCAGGTCTCTATGTTAGAAGAGTGATATCTGCTCACAGCATCTCATCTCCTCCTCAGCTCTCCCAGCATTTGAGCGCTCTCTCCGCTTCGTTTTCAACCATGGTAGTCTAATCACTGGCAAACCACCAGTGAGTTGATTGCAGCCCTTTATAATTCCTGTGTAGTGAGATGCCATAATGACTTTTCCAGGAGTTTCCACATCATCTGTTTACTCCATGTGACATTCCTTCCATCTGTCTACTTTCAGTTTATTTTACTTTATTTTTTAGTAACTTCATATCGCAGATGAAAGTACTGTGAAGTTTCTTCTCAAAACCATAATATTTTTGTTACGTTGCATGATAACCTCAGGAAACATGAAATTCTAAGAATTTAATACTAATATCATTTTGGGATCATTTTTTAAAGCAGTAAAAGACTTTATGTTCATGTTGTCTCACTTTTCAGAGGAATTCATAGCTTTTTATTGATGTAAGCCATTTCATAACCCTGTCAAGGTGCTTTGAGGAAGAAGTTAACTGATTGAACATCAACAAATCCTGGAATGTTTGATACTAATGATCTCAGAAGGGGCCCTGCCTGATCTACATTCCACCTGAGCACTCCTTACCAAATATTGCTCTTGCCTTCCTCTGCAGTGATTGGTTCTGATCACTGTAGAGAAAGCATGGAAGCTCATTTTACAAGGCTGCATGTGTGTCTGGCTGCTACCTAGATGCATGTCCTTCTTGCACAGGTCAATCCATTCTCTGGTTTTTCTCTCCTTTGCTCTACTCCCTTACACAGAAACCTAATTTACCTGTTTCTTTCTTAAGCTCTTCATTTCAGAAAAACTCAATAAGGAAAATTAAAAAACCCCTCCTTTAGGATGTCTCTCTTATTTCTGCCAGCTTTTTGAAGTATGTGTGCTCTGGGCAGGGGTGGGGACAGGAAGTGTATGTGACAAAGATCAGTCAGACAAAACACTCCTGGCATGATTTCCATTTTAGAGTTGTGAAACTGAAGAATGGGCAGGTAAACTGATATTTTCTATAAGTTGTGAGACCATGATTCACTGATTTGTTTACCTTAATGAAGCATACGTAAAATAATTGATAAATTATTTTATCAATAATTTGGTAATTTCCTCTTGGGGCTAATTGAATATAGTGAGTATAATTGAGTATACGGTGGGTGGCTTTCAAGCGTATCTTTCCAACTTTCACTATTTTAGTACCCTGGCTAGAAAATGATAATCTGATAGTGAAAATATTAATTCATCCTCTACAAGGTTCTGAAGATACTAACTTCTCAGTAAATTCAGATATAGATTACAACCATTTTCAGGATATAATAAAGAAGGACTAAAGGTATCTCTTTGGTATGTGGTTCTTTACGGCCACATAAATGGCTTCCAAGTCTTCATTTCCTTAAGTTCATTTCCTGCTACCCTATGGACATTGCTACCCTCTCCTTCTCTGGGTTACAAATAAATGGTTGATGGCATTTTAATAACAAAGATTAACCAGGTTGCCATGTTAAGGATAGATGGGAGAAGCAGTTTGGGAAGGTAGCCTAGACAAGGTGATGGTCTTTTCAGGAAGTTCTCAGGTGTCTACAATAGGTAGCAGAATTGGGCCTGAGCAAAAGTCACATGAGCTTACAGCACCCTGTGCAGTCAAACTCTCAACTTCACTTAAGCTTTTTCTTTGCTTTGCTTCTGCCCACTCACCTGGCCTGTTACCACCCACTGTTTTAAGCAGCTCTTCAGCTGCACATCTACTGTCCTGCTCTGCCCTGAAATAGGATGATAGGTAGGACTGCTGTACCCACAGTTTACATGTCCTTACCCTCCATGTAAACTGTGGGTACAGCATTTGCTACCTACCGTGCTTCTCAAATACCGGAAGCATGGTTTGGACAGCTGAAGGCTTAGCAATCATTCCAAGCTGCAGCATCTCCTTGGGCCTCAGGCTAACACCCATATCAAAACAACTTGCGCGGTGGCGGGCGCCTGTAGTCCCAGCTACTCGGGAGGCTGAGGCAGGAGAATGGCGTGAACCCGGGAGGCGGAGCTTGCAGTGAGCCGAGATGGCACCAATGCACTCCAGCCTGGGCAACAGAGTGAGACTCCGTCCCAAAAGAAAAAAAAAAAATTATGATATTTAAAGAGCATATTTAACCATTAAAATAGTAAATATGTTGCTTTTTTTTTTTCTTAATTGAACTGTAGTGTCCTTATTGTTTTAAGACTTCATCGTATATTCTGGATACAATTCCTTTATCATATATGTGATCTGTATGCATTTTTTCCAAGTCTGGCTTTTCATTGTCTCAACTGTGTCTTTCAAAGAGCAAAAATTCTTAATTTTGATGAAGTCTGACTTATCAGTTTTCTTTTTAGTCAATTTTGCTTTTGCTGTAGTAGCTAGGAAATCTTTGCCTAACACAGTCATAAATATTTTCATTTTTTACATTTTGTGTTTAGGTCTCCCGTGCATTTTAAGTTAATATTTTTACATGGTGCAAGGTGTATGGATTAAGGTTTGAGAACAGACAGACAGGAATGTCTTTCAGATTTATAAAACGTAAATGCTATATAGTTAAGCATTTAATAATCTTTTCTGAAAAGGAAAAAAAAATGCCTACATTTGAAACCATTCTGGAAAATGTAAGATAATGTGGTTTTCCTAACCAACAGTAGTCAGCTTTTAAATGCAGTACTTTGACTTTATTATCTTATCATTGAGATTCACCATGTTTTTATGTACCACTAAGAAAGAAAAAGAAAAAAACTGATTAAATTGTTTAAAAAAAAACAAAAACCTTGAAGACAATTTTAGTTACCTCCAGGCTAATCATTTCCTTTTTCTTTTCTTTCATCGCCCCTGAAACTCCCCCAAGCATTATCCAAGGTGTGGGCTCTTTTTGGTTAGTAAACTTCACTTGTCATCTCCTTTGAGTGTGCTTCCCCACTCTCGTCATCTTCTGCTGGCTTAACTCGAAGCCCAAATTTCTTACTTGTAGATGGTTAACAAATATTCCACATTCTCTGCATTTTCTTCCTGCATTTGGAACCTGGGTTTCCTTTAAGGACACCAACTCCTTGAAGTCACACTCCCCCTTTCTCGCACGCATACACACATGCTCAGACAATGAGGGTGGCTATCTGGCAGCTTCCACCTTTCCCACTAGAGTTTTCAAATATTTGCCACACTATGCCAGTGCCAAAATTTATATAATAATCTATCCTTCAGAGGCTTCTCCCCTTGAGCTGCTCACAATTTACCCCTCCTTCTAACTCACAAGGAGTTACAAGGCCCTGGAAATGTGCCTCCCTCGACAGCCACAAGTGAAATAGTCACCAGGTTCATGGTCTTACTCGAATCCCTGTCATGCAGGGATTTCTTCATTTGCTTGGAATGACTCATCAAACAGCCTAGCTTTACAGTTCCTTGACCTCGGCTCTTCCCAGGACTTTTATCTCCATATGTCGACAGGAATCTACTTTCTTGGCACTTGTTACTAACTGGAACTGTATCTATTATCCTTTCTCAACAAGAACCTCTCATATCTCAGCATCCTTCTAAGGCTCGCTTACTATTTCACCTCTTCTGTACTTCTAACTTTGAGCCTTTTATTCCCTTCCTATTTGCAAGCTTCCTAGGCTTCATTTTTAGGACCCCAATGTTGATCACTTGAATTTCCCTTTCACCAGCTCACTGACTCTCTTGGCCTTTCAACTCATCCTTTTTACAAACCCCTGGAGCAGGTCTCTCATCGCCCTTCACCACTCCTGCAGCCAGTCAGAACAGCTGGTCAAATGAATACAGGAATGGACTCACTCATTCATACCAACGGTGTTCACTTGACCTGCCATAACAGTGTGATTCTACAGGCCCTGCAAGTTCATGCTGACTGTATATCTCACTCTTCTGCCTCAGAGCTAGAGAAAACAACACTGAAAATGACCAAACCTCCTAATCAGGAACTGGTAAATTAAACTGTTTAAAAAAGTTCTCTTTATATGTGTACATACATAATATATAACTTCACAGAAGTGAGCAAAAGTGATTACACTGTATGTATAAATTTATGGGGAGAAATGTAGCATCTGAATTCTTTTCCTTTTTGGTTTAGTTTCCAGTTCCCCTCTTCCCATTCTCCACACCAACATCATCCCTCACCTCATAAACCTACACCTAGAAAAACTATGTCAATAATCTAGAATGTATCTGGGATTTTTTCCCAAGTTCATATGCTTAAAAATATATACACACTCATACATATACCATCATATACTTATAAACACACAAGCATACTGTGGATATACAGGCTTTTGGGCTTTGTTTTAAAAGATGAGATCATAATATACACATCTTCTGTTTCTTGCTTTTGTCATTAGATATCTTGTAGATATCACTCTAGATGAAAAGGTTCTAACTATTTTTAGATCTAATTATTAACTTGTTCCTTTGTATAAACTCGTAAATATTTATTGAGCACCTACCATATGCCACACTGAAGCCTGGGATTTATTCAAATTTCAGAATTGAGAAGGGAGTAGAGAGATTCATAGTCCAGCTCTCTTACAGAATAGATGGAAAATCAAGGCTCCGTAAATATTCGTGATTTATTCAAAGTCATGCAGCCAGTTGATGCCATGTCTCAAATCAAAATCTAGCTCTTGCTAGCCCCCAAGTCCAGTCCTCTTTTAATCATACTATTCAGAGTCCCATAAATTAGCATACAATTACTTACAATTTAATGTGAAAACATACTACAACATAAGATAAATCTTCAGGCCTGGAGTAGGGAGAGGATAGGGAGGGGCAAGGATTCAGGAAATTTCCTGATAATGGTTTGTTGTCTGTGTGGATAGACCAAATTGTCTTTAATGAACCAAATTTATCAACCAGTGAAGACTCATTAAGATGCCCAGCATTTAAAGGGAGATCAATAAAAGAGAGAACTTAGTATTGAAAAGCTATGAAAGAGCTTTGAATGAAATTCACTCTCCGTCTTAGCAGAGCGCTTTTCAAGAGTGAGAATCATGGGTGGGCTGTGAGGGAAGATATTCCCTGGCCATCTAAGCACATCTGGAAAGGTCCAGATTTCAAACTGTCGCTCTTTTGTCAGTGCTGAAAAACTTAACCTTGAGCGCTAGGAAGATGTTCTCCAAGATGCTGAAACTTGTCACGTTATATGAGTCTTCATGTTCATAGGCAAAACAAAACAAAACAACAGGCATATACATGACATTACCTTCTTTTTTGTTTGAGACAGGGACTCGCTGTGTCACCCAGGCTGGTGTGCCATGATCCTATCATGGTTCATTTCTGCCTCCAACTCCTGGGCTCAAGTGGTCCTCCCACCTCAGCCTCCCAAGTAGCTGGAACTACAGGTGCACTACCCTGCCTGGCTAATTTTTTTCTTTAAATTTTCTGTAGAGATAGTATTTACCTATGTTGCCCAAGCTGATCTCAGACTCCTGGCCTCAAGTGATCCTCCTCCCACCTGGTATGAAGCACTGTGCCTGGCCTTGAATTTCTTAATGATGTTTTTGTGAATCTATTTGTCAAGAGTACAACTGCCAGATTTTTGTGCATTTGTGCCCCTCTGCTCCGAAGTACCCTGACTGTCAGTCTATTCATTCAGTCATCAAATAACTTTGGGGCATCTATTCTATGCCAGGCACTACTATGGTAGGCCTTCAATAAAGGGAGGCTATGTTTACATGGGCCTTCCACTTCACAGGCAAGAACCGCACTACTGAATCTCCCGTGTCTTTGTCCCTCCAGATAATTTAGTGTGCACCTTATGACCTTCACTGACAAAATAGCGAAGAATGAACAAATGTTCCTTAAAGCCAGCTAATTCTTTGGTTATTTTAAAGCTGATTGGATCTTTTGTACACATTCTAAAGACTCTAAAGAGAGTCCTTGAAGGCATAATTTCACTGAAAGACATGCACCACAAACCCCCTGAGACATCCAACTGCAGGGAACACCTCAGCTCAGTCAGTATGTGATGAGCTTTCATGTCGCAGGGCACCTGACAGTTGGATGAAAAATTGCTTTCAGTCTATGCTGGGTTTTCTGTGGCAGTTCAGAAGCAGGACTAGGTTCTGGGTCTTTACTGTGTATGTCATCTTTTCTTTCAGGGTTCTGTGTTTCCATGCAAATAATTATAATAGTGTAGAATTATTTGATACCTACTAAGTGTCAGATTTCCTGCCATGTACTTCACAGACTTTTATTCTGTACAACAACATTATGAGTCATGTAATATCATCCCCACTTCAGAAAGAAGGTTCGGAGAGGTGGGGTAAGTTACACAATGACAGAACTACAAGAGGCAGAGCAGGGGTGAAGCTCAGATCCCCGTGTCTCCAAACCCAAGGCTGAGACCGCTGGCTGCACTACCCCACACAGTTCTGAGGCAGAAGAGAATCAGGAGGTGAGGATGGGAACTGGGGAAGGGGTTATGTTCTGATGAGTTAGTTTTTAAAGGAGAGCCAGATTTTCTGAAGCAGAATTTTAAACATGAATAGGACATGTTAACTTGATGTTAGTGAAATATTTCCTAGAGTTGGGGTTTATTGTTGAATACTAAACTCATGGGAGTACTGCATACCACTGTGGAAAGGTGAACAGAATGACTTTAGGGAATGTGACAGTTTACAAAGAAAAAAGTAAAGAAAGGAAGGAAAACTAGAATTCTCAGTCCTGACCAAAACTATCTCTAGGATAATTATGGTTTATCTAAAACTTGTTTCTCTGGGTAATCAGATAACCCTGCTCTCTGTGAGTGTAGACTTCTCCACATGCTGTATGAGGATACCTCTGTGTCCCTGTAGTTAACAATTTTAATTATAGGTGAAGTATTCAGGTTAAGTGGCCTAAATTGACACTTTACATGGAGAAAAAAGTCTCTCATGAGACTATATGCTATAAATACATAATTATTCATATTTAAACTCAACATTCTATTGCTTTTATATTTGTTTTATATTCATTTTTCACAAAGTTTCCTTTGCAATTGATTCCTGGGTGATGGTATTAACATGTCAGTATTATTTATTCAAGACAAGTGGAAAATCTCAAGAAAAGGCTAAAAGACCCTTGGGAGCTTACCTAGTGACTACAACAGAACTAGGAATTAAATGGCTGTAAAGTGACATGTTGTATACAACACAACATAATTTATTATGTGTTGCATTAATATAGGCGTTTTGAGGATATCAACATTAGCTGAGGAATCCTGATGTCTGCCAATTACCATTGTTTGGTAAAAGATTGGGAGTTCTGGATTTAACTGCTTGGTAATGAAATCAACGGTTTGCTTCAAGTTAATGTTATACAGTAGATGCCTAGCTGATTTCTTGTTTCCCCTACTATCTACCTTAAACGCATTCTGGGTCTCCCTTCATCTTTGTAGGTTTCTGAGCTATTTTTGTACTGTCTACATATCTTGATTAGCTAATCTGTATATTAACCATATGTTCTGACAAGAGTTCAGTGACATGGACCCTCAGCCCATGACGCTCACTACCACTGACATGTTGCATGTGAGTGGTGGGGGGAGATGAAATTAGTTTATTATAATATGACTTTTGAGAAGATATAGCAAAATAATCCTCTAATCCATTCTACAGAAAACCTTTTGTTTTTCCAACTTTATTACCTTTCATTATTCCATCTCAGCTGTTTTCACTTTGTGAGATTGCTAGGGTCAATGGGTGAGGATCTGCCATGGGTGTGTGTGTGTGTGTGTGTGTGTGTGTGTGTGTGTATGTGTGTGTGTACTTTTCACTGTCAATTATTCTAAGAAAAGCAAATGCTAAAGTGAAGTGAAACAGACAATGGTTCACAGTAAATATCAAGCTGTGTTTGTATTGCTGCCATCTCTTTGGGAGAATTTCTTATCTGTTCCTACAGAAAAATTACTGGAAATATATATCAATGAAAACGTATAAATGAAATCCTGAAACTATATAAGATTCATATCTCTTGATTATCCAAAATAGAGACATATTATTACTTATGAAGATGAAATGTTTGTGGTTTGATGCTAAAACATTTAGTACTAATAATTATTCCATATAGAGTGTTTGCATTAATCTCGACTACACTAATTCAGAGCATGAGCTCTTTGCCTTTGTGCATGAAGACAGTTTCTTGGGCAAATTACCAATGTAATTTCCTCGTTGTCATTCCGCAAACCATCTATGTTCAAATATTTTAAAAGCAGCTGTACAGAACCAAATAATTTATATTTTAATTCTATATAAATCAACATATACTTCTTTACTTGGACATTACCATTTTAACTTCAAATTCAACATGTCTATTTTGAAACCCTTGATTTCCAGGATAAATCAGTCTCTTGCTGACTTCCCTTCTCTTTTGTTTGTGGTAGAATGATTCCCCTAATGTTGGAGCCTTAAAGTCTAACTTAGTGACTCCTCTCATGTTTTCCATATCTAGTCTGGGGCAACATCCAGAAATTCTTCCTGTTCTGTTTTTCAACTATCTTTTTAGTTTTATTTCTAGTGCCGCCATCTCAGACCTCTACTAATTCATTGGAATTATTTTTCATCTCTCTGTCTACCATTTTTTTCTTCTTCCAATTCATCCTATGCATCAATGTCACTCTATTTTTTCATATCTGCAAACCACTCAGTGGACATCCAATATACAAGCAAACCAATTATAGGTGAAATTTAAAAATATTTATTGTAATTTATAAAAGAATAGTAAACTAAAAATGAATGGTAATAACAGCAATTATAATAATGGAAAACAACTATGATGCTAATTAGGAGGAGGAAGAATGTTTTCAAAGTCTTTCACCAGGTATCGATATTCATCTCAAAGAGTTTGAACAACAGATTCAATTCTGTGTAGGGACCATTTCTTCATTTATTCTTTATTCCTACTAAATCAGAAATACCAAATTCATAAGTCATTTGGAAGGGTAACAAATGTTTGATGGTTTGTCAACTAGTCTTGACAAACGGATTCTACAATGTACAGAAATTATGGAGACAGTTTTCACTGATAGATGTTCAGTGCCTCAAAGGAAACTCATTAAGATGAGGGAATGCCCTCTCAAATGTAACAGGATTGTTGAATATATCAACACAAAAGATCACTAGCAAATGGATTCCTAATGAATTCCTGGTTGAATTTGCCTCTGATAATTATGTATTCATATTCAGTTTGAGCATTCAGATGTGTTAAATATGGCCAATAATAGCACTGATTTATTTCCTCCTTTAATTTAGAATATCTTTAAGTAGTTAGAAGGAAACCCTTGTTAACTAATCCATTGACATCAAAATTTAACTTTTTAAGGAACTTTTGCTGTCTCTCACTAAATATTAGAAATGATGATATGTTGTTCATGAAGTCATAAAGTCAGGCTTCTCCACTCTCTGTTTGATTTTTATGTGTATGTGCTGCTCATAAAAATCATCACACTGGTAGAGATTCTTGTTCTCACAATGCAGATTCACAGTGTATTTTCTCCCTGAAAACTTGTTATTTTCTTTGGAACCTTTATGCCAAATGATATATAATTTGCAGTACTATTTTCATGTCTTTCTACTTTTACATCTCCGATGGATTAATGTTGCAGCATTAATTCATTTTGTGTGAGTTGGTACTCTAAAATACAATAAGGCAGACAGCTTTAAACCCATGTGATGTTTAATATCCTACAAAGACCAAAGAGTCATAGTGGATATTTCCCTCAATCTAAAAATAAGGGAAAATACTAATAAGCAAATTATATAAAAATGAATCTGCTTAAATAGACAGCACCCTGTTTGCCAGATGTTACCTGAGACAACCAATCCATATATCCCATGTATGTGAGATGTTTAAAAATGTAAGAATTACTAAGGACATGATAAATTTTTATGAGAATCATAATTAATCATATAGTTCAAATTTCATGGTGCCTGTCTATTGCCAACCCCTAGTTTTTCACAGGTTTCACATTGGAAAGCAATGGGTTGTCCTTTGGCTTATTTTATTTTAGTAATTAACTGTCCTTTAAAAACAATAAAACTTTCAGCCTTCAGTGACTTTGATAACCTATGTGATAAAGTCAGAACTCATTAGCCTGATATTCAAGGTCTTCCCAGAGAGGCTCCATCTTACCTGCTCTGACTTCTGTCTTATACCTGCTGATCCACCTGGGGTGTCTGCTGAAAGCAGGTCAGCACAATGACTCAGATTCTTCCCTTTCTTTCCCTCTCCCATGCCCCAGGATTTGTTTGTACAACTGGCCCAGGAATCCTGACTTCATTTATTCTCTATGGGTTAACCCAGGTTCTTGCTTGTGAATGGAAACAGGATAATGGAGCTAAACCTAAATGGCATTTTCTAACCATGTCTTCATTATTCATTCTCTGAACCATCCTCTCTAATCAGTTTTTACTGATTTCTTCCCCAAATATGCATTTGCTTTCTCATTTCAACTTATATTTACACTGTTCTATTCATCAGAAATGTCCCTGTCTTGTCTGCCTCGTCAAATTCTTCAACTCCCAACTCCTGTCTTACTTCCTATATAAAATCTTATTAGGTTACCTTAGCTGAACTATCTTCTTCTTTCTGGAATTCCTATTGCAATTACTTTTGTTGTAATTATTTAGGCAGTGGTTTCTTTGATATCATTTACTGTGTTTTCTGGCAATTGCACTGAAATTGTATACTGCTCTTCAATTAATGATTATCTATTTCCCCAAACTAGATTTTAAGCACCTTGAGGACAAATATTGCCTCATATGCCTGTATTTCTGTTCCAGGTCTTTGGCATACTGTTAATAATGAACAAATATTATATTACAGTAAAACTGTATCCCAAGATTTTCTCAGACTCATCTAAAATATAGGCAAGAACTTAATAACACTAATATGCCTGTTCAATGAAGCATTCTATTCAAAATGTTTTATTAATTCTTTACAGCTTCCTCAGCATCTGATTGGAATCAGTGGCATTTTAATTTATATGTCTATTTAACAAATACTAATATAGTGTGCACTGTGTGTTACTCATTTTCTATGCACTTTACAAATAATAATTTTATTTAACTTTCAAGACAACCATCTGAAATAGGTGCTATTATTATCCCTGTTTTATGTATGAGGAAATGGATTTACTGAGAAGTAACTCAGCCAAGGTGATGGAATTAGTTACTAATAGGTTCAGGATTTGAACCTACATTTTTAACCACTGTGCTCTAGGAACTTAGTTAACAGCTTTAATGAATGAAATGGTTCTGCTAATTGATGTAAGAAACTACTTACATGTTTTGTTGGCTAGGTCACCTGTCACTCTCAGTTCAGAATCTTTCAGGAAATGTCCTTTAGTCTCTGGTGGGAGGTGTACTGCAACTAACCGTCCTTTGAATTTATGTTGCCATGTACAGTCCCTGTAATTTTATTTCCTCTTTCTATCTTTACTTTTGGGATCTAAGCTTCCTTGAATGTTTAGCCTTTTTGTCTTTTTAGAAAATATTGTTCCCTTTATGAATATGTCTCTTAATTGCTAGAGTTTCCTAATAGCCAAATGAAAATTACATTTTGGCTTAGAAAATGCTTTCATCTGTATCCACTGGCTATATATCTGCAACCAAAGTAAAGTGTGGAATTGGGTATTTGTTGTTTGCAGCATTTGAGCAGTGTACACATCAAATGTGGTTAATTCTATTACCAGTAATATTTCTAGTTTCTTCTAAAATTACCATAAAGGTTTAGGTCTAGATTAGATAATTATTTCCAATCAATCTCCTTTCAAGTTGGAAATGAATGAAGTCCCATGTTTTCTGTGTGCTATTTCATATATTTTGGCATGATAATTATTAATAGCAATGTATTACTATTGCTCTTTTGCTTACTTAAAAGTATATTTTGCAGTGGTTTATTTTATTCTAGGTGGGAGAATAACACGTTGATATCTTCTTGAAATAAAAATTATATGTCAATGAATGTGACAATGTTCTATGTAAGTAGCAATCGAGGAATGACTGAAAAGGGATTATTAAATATTTCAATGCATGGGAAAATATTTCTTCTACCTATTTACTGCCTAAAGTAAATGCTAACCCAGAAGATATTTATGTCTTGGTTTAGAAATCTGTAGAGTGACAGAGCAATCTGAGCTCTGTAATGTATGCAAAATTTATCAGGCTCAGAGAGACATGAGTATGGGACTTTGGCCACATACCATACCTGTGCCCAGGGACAACTGTTAGGAAACATTTTGTTCCAGACTAGTTGTGTCACCTATTATCTTCATGTTCCTGGAATTTGTGATACAAAGAACAATGTATAGCCAATCGATAGCTTATGTATTTGAAAGTATATTCTTGGTAAACAACTTAGGAACTGCCTCTT